>NC_000002.12:26298869-26451619 GCF_000001405.40 Homo sapiens
GTATGTGCGTGTGAACCTACCCGGGACATGAGAGAGGCTCGTTTCGTCCAATGAGGAGTCCTGGGGTAGGAGTGGTGTGTGTATGTGTGTGAATGTGGGAGCCTAACTAGGCTCACCCGGCACATGGAGAGGCCTGTTTCATCCGATGAGGAGTCCTGGGGTAGGGGAGGTGTGTGAAAGTGTGTGAAAGAGATGGTCTCGGGAGAGGCCAACGCGGGGAGTGACGAGGGGAGGCACAGATCCCTTAGTGCGGGTTGTGTTCCGAGGCCAGTGTGGGGGAAACCAGACCTAGAACGTTGTATACGGCTGATAGGACCAGGTCCACCGCTGCAGCAGGCTGTGAGAGGGGAAGGCACGTTCCTGGCTAAGCAGCGTCCAAAACTCCCGTAATAGGACCCAGTCTGGTGGACCCGAGAGTAAAAGTGAGAGTGAAAGTGCGCCGCAAGGGAGGAAATGGGAGGAAAAGCGTCGAAACCAACTCCTTTGGAGTGCATGATAAAAAAATTTTTAAAAAGGATTTAGAGGTGATTATGGGATGAAACTGGATGCTCAAAATTTAAGGACATACTGTGAATTAGAATAGCCCTCTTTTAGTGTTGGACGACTGGCCGAAGGCACTACAGAGAAATTGGCCGTGTGTTTTAAGGTGGTGACTAGGGTTGGAGGACCACCAGGGCATTCAGACCTAGTCTTTGTATTGATTCATGGCTAAATGAATGCAGCCCTGCCTAGCAGTTTATTGTAGAACGCTCGCAGCTCATGGCGAGAGACACCAGCTGTGCTGGCAGCTACAGAGTTAAAGGGAAAGTCACAGAGCCTTGTAACTCCACAAGTAAAAAGTGAAAAGTAAAAGCCAAAAGTGAAAGTAAAAATCAGCTGTGCCAGGAACTATGGAGACAAAAGAAAAGTCTCAGGAAAGAGAAAACTGGTTTTGCAAGAACCACAGAAGGGAATAAAGACCCCTCCTCCCTACATTCCAATCTACCCCCCTTTACCAAGGCTAACTGCCCCTAAGGAGTTAAGTTCAAAGAAATACAGGCTCCCAGAAGAAAAAATCAGAGCTCCAGGAAGTTAAAGTGAAAGGTTACAAAAAAGTCAGGCAGGCCGTCTCAGGTCTGGCCGTGCCCAAGTTATGCTTATGCCTCTTAAGAGGACAAAAGGACCCCCACTAGGACCCAGATGATGCAGTCCAGCTTCAACCCCTACAAAATTGCCGAGAAGCACTTCTGCCAAAGGCTAAAGGATGGTAAAAGAAAAAGGTAACCAATATATATATATATATAAAAAAAATCTCAGAGGTGCTCCAGGGTGCAGATAAAAGCACCAACCAGTTTTAAAAAAGACTTTGTGGGCATTTTGGTTGTACACTCCGTTTAACTCTAAGGCTGCTGAAAATCAGCACGTGGTGGATACAGCATTTGTAAGACAGGCCCAAGGAGATATCCGGCATACATTGCAGAAGTTAGAAGCTCCGTAGGCGTGAATGCTACTCAGCTTATTAAGGTGGCTACCAAGGTGTACATTAACTGAGATCAAGAGGCAAAAAAGAAAGCTGATCGGAGGCTTAAGAAAGGCTAATTTACTAGCAGCAGCCCTTACAGGAAGAGAAGCTGGCTTTGCAAGGAGGCAGGGACGTGGGCGTGAACACAGTCGTGGAAAAGGCTAGTCTGGACAGGAGTTTGAAAGCCGGCCGAGGCTAGAGAGAGATTAATGCGGACAGTGCAAAAGGAAAGGACACTAGAAGGATAAATGTCAAAAGAATAAGGAAAATGGTCAATGGTCTAACACCCGAGTGCAGCGTTCGGTTGCTAGTTGTCATGCTTCAAAGGCAGATCCTGATCTGATCGGCTTAGCGGGGGCTGAGAATTTAGAGGACTGATAGACCGGGCTCCATCCTTTTAGGCCCCGGGGAGCCTATAGTCTCTATGGAAGTAGGGGGCCAATTAATGGATTTTTTGGTCGATACTGGTGCTGATTTCTCTGTGGTAACTCACCAATTAGTCCCCCCACAAAGAACTGTGCTACTATCGTAGGGGCTACTGGCGCCAAAGAAAAGAGGCCTTTTTGCAAATCCAGGAGATGTATTATTGGGGGACAAAAAGTGCAGCATGAGTTTCTATATATGCCAAATTATCCAGTGCCCTTGTTGAAAAGAGACTTACTCCAGAAACTGCAGGCACAAATCTCCTTTACACCTAAAGAGAATATGACACTAGAGTTTAGAAAGTTTAAGGCAATGGTTTTGACTATAACTGTCTCAAGAACTGAGAAATGGCGGCTCTATAAACTGTGTGCCAGAAGGCCACTGGAGGCGGACCTACACAATATGCGGGGAATGCTTTTCAAGGTACCAGGTGTATGGACCGAGCACAACCTCCCTGGACTTGCTGCAAACAGACCCCCGGTCGTAGTAGAGCTTAGCCCTTATGTTCCCCGGTACAAGTCCGTCAATACCCACTACCCAGAGAGGCAATTGATGGCATAACGAAACATTTAAATCGGCTCTGTGAACATAGGATTATACTGAAATGCAAGTCCTCCTGGAATACTCCTCTGCTGCCTGTGCAGAAGCCAAATGGTGAATACAGGCCAGTTTACAAAGTGTCCAAGGACAAGGCAAAAGTCTTTTTTCAGCAGGTTGGATAGCTAAGATTCATGGTATCCCAAGGCCAGTGCAGGCTTGGAAGTGCACGCAAGGAGGCTGTAGGTGCATTGCCCACCCACAGGTCAGGGAATTTCTAGGTGCGGCGGGATTCTGCCGAATCTGGATTCCAAACTTCTCCCTTATAGCAAAGCCCTTATATGAGGCTACCAAAGGAAAAGAAAGAGAGCCCCTCCTATGGGAAAAGGAATAGGAAAAGGCCTTCAAAGATATAAACGAAGCTCTCATCCAAGCCCCGGCGCTAAGGTTGCCAGATATTAAAAAGCCCTTTTTTTGTATGTGAATAAACGAAAGGGAATGGCAGTCGGAGTCGTAACTCAGCTGGGCTCTTAGCATCGGCCGGTAACACACTTATCCAAGAGACTGGACTTGGTGGCCTTAGGTTGGCCCCACTGCCTCAGGGCGTTGGCAGCTACTGCAATCCTTCTAAAAGATGCCAACAAGCTAGCCCTAGGTCAGAAGTTAATAGTTCGGGTGCCACATGCTGTAGTCACCTTAATGGAGCAAAGAGGACATCATTGGCTGTCCAACTCTAGAATGCTAAAGTATCAAGGGCTTCTGTGTAAAAATCCCCAGATAACACTGGAGACTGTAAATACCTTGAACCCAGTTCCCCTGCTGCCTGTGGAGGAACCCGACTGGAAGGACGGTAGGTTGCCTCGCTGCTGGCAGGACCTTCTCCACTGTTGCCTAAATACGGTGGATGAAGTGTTCTCGAGCCAGGAAGATCTCAGAGATATCCTCCTTGGAGAGCCCAGATGTTGAATACTTCACTGATGGTAGCAGTTTCATAACAGATGGGGTACGATATGCAGGGTATGCCGTAGTGACCCAACACTCAGCAGTTGAGGCTCAAGCCTTACCTTCTGGGACTTCTGCTCAGAAGGCTGAATTAATAGCATTAACCGGATCACTGTTATTGGACAAGGGGAAGAAAGTAAATATATATACTGATTCAAGATATGCTTTTGCAACCCTGCATGCCCATGGGGCAACATGCAAAGAGAGAGGACTTTTGACTACTAAAGGAAAAAAAATTAAAAAAAAAAATAAAGAGGAAATTTTGCAATTATTAGAAGCCATATAGGCTCCAGAAAAGGTGGCTGTCATTCATTGCAAAGAACACTAAATGGAAAAAAGCTATGAATCACAGGGCAACAGAAAGGCAGACCTAGAGGCTCTGCGGGCATCAATGAGCAAGGCTTTACCTGAAGAAAGACCTATAGCAACGCCTCTCCTTATAGAGCCCCCTTTGCCGGAGGTACCCAATTACTCTTCAAGTGAAACAGCTTGGTTTGGTCAGGAAACAAAAAAATATATTAAAGGTGGATGGTGGCTCTGACAGGAGGCTAGCCATCCCAGAGACAATAGCCCCAAGGTTTGTGAAGCAGATCCATCAAGGAACACACATTGGAAGGACAGCTCTAGAGACTTGGATAGGTTGGCATCTCTATGTGCCATGGCTGTCTGCCATGACCCGTGCTGTTTGTGAACAATGTCTATCTTGTGCCCGGAGTAATCCAAAACGAGGACCTACTCAACCTCCAGGAATTCAGGAAGTAGGAGCTGTGCCTTGTGAGAACCTGCTTATAGACTTTACCGAGTTGCCTTGAGCAGGAGGTTACCAGTATATGCTAGTGTTTGTTTGCACCTACTCGGGGTGGGTTGAGGCCTTCCCCACCGGAACTAAAAAGACACAAGAGGTGACAAAGGTGCTACTGAAAGACATCATACCAAGGTTTGGGTCGCCTCTAACCCTAGGATCAGACGACGGTCCTGCATTTGTGGCAGAAGTTGTACAACAGCTAACTCAACTTTTAAAGATCAAATGGAAACTGCACACAGCCTATCGACCACAGAGTTCAGGGAAGGTGGAACGCATGAACCAGACACTCAAACAGCTACTGAAGAAATTGTGTCAAAAAAACTCATCAAAAGTAGGATCAGGTCTTGCCCATGGTCCTCCTCCAAGTCAGGTGCACCTCCACCAAACAAACTGGGTATTCGCCCTCTGAGATTTTTTTCGGCCGGCCACCCACCCACCCATCATAAGACAGATTAAAGGTAATCTCTGTAAACTAGAAGAACTAACTTTAAGAAGGCAAATGCAGACTTTAAGTATGGCCATGTAAGAATGCATGACTGGGTATAGAAAAATGCCTATAAGTCTAACAGACCCAGTACACCCTTTCAAACCTAAGGATTTTGTTTAAGCTAAAATAATGGAATCCAACCATTCTGGGACCCATACAGGATAGGTCTCGTATTGTAATCATGTCTGCTTCCACTGCTGTTAAAGTTGCAGGTGTCACACCTTGGATTCACCATAGCCAGCAGAAACCAGTGGCAACAGAGACTCCCGATGATAACCAGTGGATTAACCAACAAGACCCAGATCGCCCCACCTGAATAGTCCTACGGCGAAACCCAACCACCGGTAAGAAGGACAACTGGCCTGCTCTGACCACACCGGAGGATGGTCAGTCTATGCACGGCTGAAGCTTGAGGATCCTGCAAGCTCTGCTCTAGTCACATCCTGGAAGCTGACTAGTCTACGCACAGTCGAAGCTAAGAGGACCATATCCGGATAAGTAAATGTGGATACAATTTATAAGCCTACTTACAATTCTGTCAACACTGATTGCTCTGCTGTTATGTTATCATTGCAAATGCTGCAAATGTCTATGCCCAGAGGAAGGTTTGCCATGCCCATGTATAGTATAGGCATGTTTCTATTACATACACTGTTGTCGTTACCATTTCTGCCTATACTAGAAGGGGAGAAATCTCTAGAAGGATGTCCACACTGTGTACATACTATCTGGGTAAGGAATAGCGTAGTTAAAACTCTACTGTACCATACCTACTATAAATGTACAGGAACCAAGTTAGAAACCTACACATACAACCAGAAACAGTCTGCAATGGTTTAACACAAGAGAGGCTTAGCAAGAGCAGCCCTAAACACCTGTACGGAGAGCTACAAATCGGATGCCCAGACTGTAACATTCGGTGGTCTACACTAACACATCTCCAACACTTATATTCAGGAAGGATTGCTCTGCTAAGTAGTATGTCAACCAAACCAAATTGTAAGGCAAGAACATGCAATCCTTTAAATTTTACTATCTTAAAGCCAGAGCTACCTTTTTGGTCTACAGGACAGACAGCACTATTATGAGTTGATAGACAAGGAGTAGGCCTTGGAGTTCCACTACTAATTGTCAAAAAGACTAGAAGGATTCAAATGTGTCCAACCCCACAATTCCGGGTCCATAAGTCATTCTATAAACATTTTGATCAGTCAGTGCCTGAGCTTTCCCATCAACCAAAAATTTACTTGCTCAACTAGCTAAAAACATATCTGGCAGCTTGGAAATTTCCTTATGCTATGTATGCGGAGAAACTAATATAGGGGACCAGTGGCCATGAGAGGCAAAAAAAGTAATGCCACAAGATAACTTTACTTCGCCTAACCCTGCCAGTGAACCAACAGCCTCAACCAGTGTTTGGTTGTTTAAAACCTCCGTAATTGAAAAGTACTGTATCGCCTGAGTAAAAAAAAAAAAAAAAGCTTTCACAGAGGCAGTAGGAGAAACAACCTGCCTAGGGCAACAGTATTATGATGAGACTAAAAACAAAACTCTATGCAGAAACGCCCAGAACGACTCCTATTTACCAGATCCAAACCCTTTCTCTCGGTTCTCTACTCTAAGCCACTCTTGGCATCAGCTAGAGGCTCCAGATGCTTAGAAAGCACCCTTTGGCCTATATTGGAACTGTGGAGCACGGGTGTGTCGGCACAGGCATATCAGCTAAATAGACAGAGGCGTGTGTGTTAGGAACAATCAAGCCATCCTTCTTTCTAATTCCTCTAAAGCAAGGGGAACTCTTAGGATATCCAGTTTATAATGAAAATTTAAAAAAAAACTAAAAAAAGCATAATCGCAAAAATGACACAAATGTCAAAAAAATGTAGACATAAAAGACTGGAAAGATAATAACGGCCGAGCTGTCATAGAAATCACAGCTAAAATGCGCAAGTTAGCCCATGTTCCAGTTCAGACTTGCTCCAGATAATCCCCGGATTCCTTGTTTAGAGGATGGTTCTCAACCTTTAAAAGATTCAAAACCCTCATTGGTGGGTTTTTGTTTATTCTTGGAATCTGCCTCATCCTCCCTTGACTTTTACCCCTGTAAGTAGGAGTATTTGTCAACTATAGAGGCAGTGGTAACCCGACACACTGCCACGCAGTTGATGGCATTAACCAAATATCAGCCGCTGCCAGTAGAAGAAAGAGCTCAGCTCTGTGAAGAGGTGGCAAATAGTGGTGCTTTCTATTAACACCTTTGTTATGAAAAGCACCAAAGGGGGGAAATGGAACAGAAATTAAAAGAAATTAAAGAATGTGTGAGCAAAAACTCAGTTATATGTTTAAAAAAAAAAAAACACCAATTCCCCCTGAAGAAGAGAAAGAGCTGGAGTCCTTTAAAATCAACTGCCTGTTTTTCTGTGGCTAGTGAGCCTTCTCTCTCCCTTTCCCAGGCATTGTGAAGACTGTTTCTCTAGCTGTGCAGCTGTAAGGTCACTAGACAGATAATCTCAAGTCATAAAACATGTTGTTCCTTAAAAAGTAAAAAGTAATATAATGCATGTCTCAGTTAAATAACTGTCTTTGCTTCTTGTTTCTATAATAGGCTTCCCCCTGCACAGATCTCCCCTCGCCCCACAAAATGCTTAAAAGGTAGCTTAACTCTGTTCAAGGCTGTGTCCTTTAAATGTTAATCTGACTGGTTTGGTGCATCTAAATAATTAAATAATTCCTCCTCAACCCCTCGGTCTCTCTGATTCTTTAATTATCCCACTGCAATATAGTCTAAATATTTTTCCCTATCAGTAGGTGTAGCTATACATCATCATTTTTAATGACCACATGGTGTTCCTTTGTATGGCTATATCCTAGTTTATTTTTCTAGGTGCCTCTTTTTAGAGGACATACACACACTGGAATGCACATTGTTTGTGCACATTATCTATTCACTCATCCACTTCTCTTTCTCTCTCTCTTTCTTTTTCTTTTTTTTGGAGACAGGGTGTCGCTCTGTTGCCTAGGCTGGAGTGCAGTGGTGTGATCACTGCAGCCTCAACCTCCCTGGCTCGGGCAATCCTCCCACCTCAGCTTCCTGAGTATCTGGGACCACAGGCATGTGCCACCACACCTGGCTAATTTTAATTTTTTTTTTTTTGTAGAGATAGGGTCCTCCCTATGTTGCCCAGGCTCGTCTTGAACTCCTGGGCTCAAGTGATCCTTCCACCTCAGACTCTCAAAGTGCTGGGGTTACAGGCGTGAGCCACTGTGCCTGGCCCACTTATTTTTTAAAGCCATCTTTTTAGAAATGGAATTGCTGCTGAGTGTCAGTTTTCTTACCTTTGTCTCCAAAGCCTTCTTTTACAGTCCTGTCTTGTTTTGTTTTGTTTTTTTGTTTTATGGTGAGAGCCAAGTAAACAAGAACTTAATGTCATTCCATCTGTCAATTCTGTGTGTGGCTTTTTTTTTTTTTTTTTTTTTTTTTGAGACAGAGTATCTCTCTGTTGCCCAGGCTGGAGTGCAGTGGCACGATCTTGGCTCACTGTGACCTCCGTCTCCCCGGTTCAAGCAATTCTCTTGCCTCAGCCTCCCGAGTAGCTGGGACTACAGGCACGCGCCACCACACCTGGTGAATTTTTGTATTTTTAGTGGAGGCAGGGTTTCACCATGTTGTCCATGCTGGTCTCGAACTCCCGACCTCATGTGATCTGCCCACCTGGGCCTCCCAAAGCGCTGGGATTACAAGCATGAGCCACAGTGCCCAGTGTAATTCTGTGTGTTTTTACCAGCAGAGCATGCATTGAGTATGTGCAAACAATTGCGAAGGAAAATTAGAGCACATATATCTACAGAAGCGCACTCAGAAAGGGGGACCCTGTTGCTTCTAAAGTGAAAGAGTATTATTTGGATTTGTAACCAAAAGATACTTTTGTAATTTATAAAATGAAAACTATCAGTGAAGTGGAAGTGAAATGAAGTGGGGTTGAGACATGTCTATGCTGCAAGGCAGAGCTTGCTCTGTCTTAGTCACCACCTGCCTCCTACAGGGCTGGAGTGAGTGTGAGGCTTAGAAACACTGCAATGGGCCCGGGCACGGTGGCTCACACCTGTAATCCCAGCACTTTGGGAGGCCGAGGTGGGTGGATCGTGAGGTCAGGAGATGGAGACCATCCTGGCTAACACGGTGAAACCCCGTCTCTACTAAAAATACAAAAAATTAGCTGGGCGTGGTGGCGGGCACCTGTAGTCCCAACTACTCGGGAGGCTGAGGCAGGAGAATGTAGTGAACATGGGAGATGCAGCTTACAGTGAGCCGAGATTGCACCACTCCACTCCAGCCTGGGTGACCGAGCAAGACTCTGTCTCAAAAAAAAAAAAAAAAAAAAAAAAAAAGAGAACACTGCAATGGCCCTGCTGAATTGGTGGCTTCTCTTTGAAAGTATAATGAATCCACTTATAGAAACATTTGGGCCAATTTATACACAATTCAAATATTCACACTAATCATTAAGTGAAGGCATGGCGTTTGTAAGAAAAGTGTTTTCAACGGTACGTGATAGCATAACCATTTTTATTTTAACAGAAAATGCCCCCGTCCCATTTTATAAAAAATATCCATGAATTGCATAATTAACAAAGACCGATTCATCAGACTTTTTTCACGTATCTAGTTTAAAAATTTCTCAGAATCCTGTCATCTTCCTCTTGTGAATTCCATAAGTTAATTCAGCCAGATAGATATCTTGGTGTCTTCAAAAAGATTTTCTTCTAGTATTCATTTTTAAATATAAATTAAACTTTATTAATTGATATAAATTTATATTAAACTTTAAATTTTTATAACCTATTCTTACAACGTGCTCATATCAATCAATGCCTCTATACATGGATATGGTTAAGAAACTTACATTTTATATTGATTTTTTAAAGGTTAAAGAAAGAGGGACCAATTAACTTCACCTTTTCCTAAACTTGAAAAGACAAACCAAATTCTGCCCTTCATCTCCAATGTTTGAAAGATCAGAGGTTCCTGTCAAGTAAGTCATCCTTTCTTCATAACTATTGAAAAAGAAATAATCAGAAATCGCTGAATAGGTCAATTAAAACCATTTTTATCAAATATATTCATTCACAACATGTATTGTTGTAGTTAAAAACTGGTTGAGAAAGTTTACTTGTAATTATTCCGCACTTTGATATCTGTCGATTATTTCTGGAGCAAAGGCAGGCTTATTCATTAGGTGCCTTTAGCTAATTTTTCCTGCTATTCTTGCTGGATACTTTAGAAATGAGAAGGGGTGAGCTGTAAGATAAATGAGTGTCACTAAGGGAAATATAAGCCTGCCTTTCTCAAGGGCTGAGCTCCGGGAGGCGGGAAGAGTTCAGAGCATTGGGCCAGGGCTCATCTGGTGGGTTCAAGCACACAGCCTCAACTCCCTTGCAGGAACATGGGTCCGTGTGTGGTTCACTCTGAAGCATCTGTCTTCCTGTGAAAGAGCTTGCGGCTGGTGAGTGGATACTGAGCCCAACTTCTGCAGGCTGCCCTCCCCTCTGGATACCAAGCCCACCCATGGCAATCCCTTCAAGGCGTGACTCTCATGATAATTAAATGTGTGATAATGTGAAAAGGAATTTTCAGAGAAACCAAGTCAAGGACTGGTGGTGGTGAAACTTCTTGCTTTCTTGGAAAGCAAGATAAGGTGCTATGCTTTCTGCTCTCTGACATTTCCACCGTCTCCCAGCCATCTAGCAATGGCTACCCTAGAAAAACCTGTTTCCTACCCTTTGGTGTGGGCTGGGTATAGAAAGAGGAGGCTTCTCTCCAGCACTTTGCCAGGAGGCCCTTTGCCACACCGTCCTCAATCCACCCTGCTTACGCTGCCCCTGAGAAAGCCTAGTTCTCACCTGGCAGTGTCGCTTCCTCCTTTGCTGTGTTCCAAGATGCAGCCTTCATTTGTGGCCTAGGAAGGGGTGGGAAGGCCCAATTGCAGGGCAGTTATTAGTATTGTCAACTCTCCCTTGAAGAGGTTGTATCTGTTTTACTTTCTCACATGCACTCCTGCCTGTGCTGCAGGAATCCTAGAAATTTTGCTCTCAGCTACAGTAACTCCCATGAGTACTGATCCCACACTTTTCCTTCAAATGCTAACTGGAGGCAGATTTTTAGATGGAGAAACCAGAGAAAAGAGAGTCAGCAGGAGTCCAGGTGATAATCAGGAACCCAGGACCCTGATCCTGACTGCTCTGACCAGGCTGCTCATTCCACTGGTGGGGAGCTGGAACCGGAAAACTGTTCATTCTAAAAAACAACCCCAATCTTCTCTCAGCTTCTGGCTGTGCCCATGTCCTCTGAGGAGGGCCATGGAATGCCTTCTGACATGCTCTTGGATGCACAGCTGAGGATCTGAAGGCAGCAACTCACCAGGGAGATGGTGGAGCTGGGGGCTTGGGCGCGGCAGAAGCGTTTGCGCAAAGCTTCTTGTATCTGCGGGAGAGGTAAATGCTCTGCTTATGCCAGCCACGGCCCCGGCCTGCGGGCTGCAAGTGAGGCAGGGGGTTAGGTGGGCAGACTTACCTTCCTGTCCATGAGGCAACCAAACAATAGGATGAAGACGCCCTGAGAAGAGGGACATGGGGATAAGCTGGTCAAGGAGGAAGGGATCCACCCGAATCAACATGCTCCTTCTGTCCTGTGTAATTCACATCCTAAGGCTTCTCATCTCAATTTTTCTGTTACCACTATTTGGTGCATAGGATCCATTTCAGGTGCTTTTCTTATTGTTATGGTTATAAAAGGGATAGCAAAGGATTGGGTACTGACAATTTCCTGATTTCTCCAACAAAATCAGCTATTATTTTACAGATAAGAAAACCAAAGCTCAGAGAGGTTATGTAATTTGTCCAAAGTTATCCAGCTACTCAGTGGAGGAACTGGGATCCACACCTAAGCCTTCCAAAATTCCTGAACCTATGTTTCTTCTGCTCCACCTTGGTACCTCCTAGAGAAGAGATCGGCAGTGACTTAGACCATCTAAAAAAGCAAAAAACACAGCCACCCCCCTATCACCTACCTGGAGGGTGTTGAGAATGGTGAAGATGTAATGAGGGACCGTGGAGACTTCCTCTAACAGAGTGGCCAGGCCCAGCCCCCAGGTGAGGCCAAAGATGGGTGTAAGAATGAGCAGGGCTTTGATCACCCCCAGCAGAGCTTGGCGCTTCTCTGCTGGGGGTCCCTCTGACAGCGAAGGTCTCAGCAACTTCAGCATGGCCATGGCTAGTACCAGCCCATTCACGCCTATGATGGCCAGCACTGGCCCCACGAAGGTGTATAACGCCCCTCCCTTCCCATCCAACCAGCATTCCCCCTCCCTCAGGTATTGCCCTTGAGGTAGGTAGAGCCCCAGGGTGACACCTGCCAACCCCAGTGGGCACAGGTAGCCCAGGAGCACCATGAGGGGGAGAACTCGGTGCTTTGCCAGCTGGTGAAAGACAAAGAGCAGCTGGTGGGCCAACACCAGGGCCTGCGCCAGCATCCAGAAAAAGGTGGCCAGGTAGAGGAAATGACAGAGGAAGGCGGCAGCAAGGCAGAGCGGGCTTCGGGGCCCTGGAGAGAGGAATGGGGCGCCCAGGAAGCAAGTGTCTGCGGCCAGCAAGCAGAACACCATGTTGAGCAGGGCGGCGTGGCGGAAATAGGAGATCTTGTTCCGCACCACGACTCTCCACACCAGCCAGTACACACCCAGGCACACAAGCAGCGCCAGTATGGAAGCTCCCAAGCCCACTTGAGTCAGCAGCGCCAGAGCGGGTTCTTCCGGAACAGTGTGTGGGGACATGAGGACGGAGAAGGCAGTGAGGTGCTGGCAGAGGCACTGAGCAGTGGGGCTGGCACTGGCCACCTGTGCCTGGCACCCTTCTTTGGACCAACCCCCCCTGCCCTGGAAGAGACTGTGATCCCAGAAGACACAGTGAGGGGAACCATCTGTGTTCCCAAAGTCCATGATGACCTCTCCCTGGCTGAAGGCCCGGTCACCTGCCATGATGGAAATGACAAGGACCAGGCCAGGAGTGGCATAGAGGGAATCCCCCAGCCCTTGTCCATAGTTTGAGGGCAGAAGGTGGTCCAGTTTTCGCAGCACCAGGCTAGTAATACTTATTTCAGTTCCATTACGGACCAATGGGGCCAGTGAGTGCCTGGGAATCTGAGCCTGCAGTGGGGGCCGAGTAGGGAAGGAGATGCTGTAGTCAGCAGGAAACGTGGGTCCAAACAGCTGGCTCTGCAGCAGCACATTGGGTAAGCTGAAGGCGAAGGGGTGGTCCTGTGGGCACAGGCTGCATGCCAGGGTCTCCACAGCCAGCAGGAGAGTCGAGCCTGCCCAGGGCTTCCGGGCTTGGGCCAGGGTCCACAGAGACCTGGTGTCCATATCTAGGACCTTGTCTGTGGCAATCAGGAGATTCTGCAGCACCCAAAAGAAAGATGAACCCCGTCTGCTGGCGCCCACAGGACTGAGCCGGGGGCAATGAGAACAACAGACCCCACACCTTCCCTTCCCAGTCCAGTGTGCGACCCAAGGTTGGAGAGAAAAGGGAGAGGAAGACAGGCCTGTGAAGGGAGACTTTCTAGATGGGAAGAACAGGGAGCTGTTTGGCCAACCACCTGGGGCATCTTCAAGGATATGTCCCCTGACCTGCACCCAGCCCCTCTGCTGAAAACCCTTCTTCCCCCTCCATCCCTAGGGGCCACCCAGGTTCTAAGAGGGGACTTCTCCCATTCTTTGGCCCCTCCAGGTCTGCAAAGCTAGGAATGGTGACCAGCAGTGGTAGAGGGCACCGTGTCCTGGAGGCGACGGCCACACGCATGTCTGTGCATTCACACATGCCATGTATTCCCAGGCATAAACGGTGTGTAATATCATTGCCCTTTGTTACACTTTTGGCTGCAGCTCATGGGTCACCAATGGATGCCCATACAGAGAGCCGATTTAGGTGAGCCCAGCAAAGCCAAGCATACTTCAGCGTCTCCATAGAAACTTCCTGTCTGTATCATAGCCACACGCCTGCATGCGCACACACGCCTCGGGCCTCATGTCTCCACACCCTTGCCTGCCTCCAACCCCCATGTGCTCCCAGCGCCAGGCCTCCATTCTGCAGCCTCAGAGAGTGGTGTCTGAGAGGAGAAATGGATCAGGAGCAGGCCCCTGGACTCTGGAAAGGTCTGCTGCCCAACAGCCCATGGTGACATCAGAGGGACAGAAATGCCCACAGGTGGGGAGTCTTCAGCCCCCGACTGCCCAGCTGGCCCCCACTGTGGCTCAGAGATCTCACCTTCAGGGCTCTGCGGTCAAGCTGTATTCTGGCCTCTGCCACCACCTTGGCCACGTATTTCATGGTGCTCAGCAGGGTCAGTAAGTCGGAGGGTGAACTTGCCTCTGCCGCCTGCCCTGGCAGCTGTGCCAGGATCTGTGGCACCTCCTCAGCAGGACTGCCCTGGCCTGCCTGCAGCAGCTGAGACAGACGAGACAGCATGAAGTGGGACACATGGTGGAATGATGGTTTGAGAAGAGCATCCCAGACCCATGGAGATTGTTGACCCCCAGAAGCCCTCTCACTCCTACTTCCTGGCTCTGCTAGGGCTCCACTTCAGAGAAGCTGAACAGCCTGTGGGCTGGGCCTTGGGGAAAAGGGTCTGCAAGCTGGGTCCTAGAGAGGCTAGGGTGGGCCGTGGAGGGGGCACGTGGGCAGCAGGGTGGAAGCTTCACCTTGGTTCTAGTGAACAAGGCCAGGAGCCTCGCATCTGTGCAGCTGCTGTGGACCGGCCCCCAGACTCCGTCAGCCCCACAGAGCCTCCTCACTATGCCCCTCTTGCTCTCAGGACATGGGGCCTGTGCCACGTGGCCAGCCTTGGTGACATTCCAGGTGAGCACCGAGGCGTCCTCAGGGCAGGTGATGTCTCCATCTGAAGAATGACGAGCAGGCGCTACTCAGCAATCACAGCCTCACCTGAGCCTCTCCTTGGGCAGAACCCTATGCGGGCCCCGAAGCCTGGTCCTGTTGCCCAGGGCAGAGACGTGCCATGCAAGAGAGCCCGTGCTCCCAAGGCAAGCAGCTGGGACCAGCCCACTGGGCCCCAGGCCCTGCGTACCCTGGATGATGGTGATGGAGATGGGGACCCTGAGTGGAGCCAGGCCCAGGCTCTGCAGGTCACAAGCGTACGTGGTGTCAGCCATCGGGCAGCGCTGAACAGCCAGCACAAAGCACTGAGAGCCTGACTCGTTGAAGGAGGAAGCTGAAGGCAAAACGAAGAAGGGAACTGTCATTGGGCCAGGGACAGGCCTGGAACCCAGCAGGCTCTGACATGCTGTTTCAGTCTTTCTAGCAATTCAGAAACAGAGGAAGCAGTGGGGAAGAGCCAAATGATGTGTGGGCTCCACTTGGACAGAGGAAGAGAGCTTGGATTTTGCTGGAGGGGACTGTGGGGTCTCTAACAAGCTCTAGGACTCAGTTTCCACCATTTCCTCATTTGTAAAATGGAGACTACCATCAAACTAATTCCATAGAGAGTTAAATGAGATTGTGTAGATGACAGCATTTTGCAAAAGTTTCCTATACACATGTGGTTATGTTATGGCAATAGACGTGGCATGGCTCTGATGGGGTAGAAAACAGTGTTGGCCTTGGACCCCACTCTCTGGTTGAACTGTGGCCTCTGTTTCTCATGAGCTGAAGACCCAGCTGCCTGGAAGAGACAGCTGCCCCCTGGTCCCTCTGACCCCTGACTGCTGGCCCCTTCTCATACCTTTGCTGCCCTCTCCAGGGCTCCAGGCCGCGGTGTAGGCCAGGTTTGTGCTGGGGATGCAGCAGCTCAGCTGGAAGCCAGGGGAGGTGGCACAGGAGATGGACAGCTGGTATGGAAGTCGAGCCACATCTGTCGCCTTCAAGGGCACCCTCACCACCTCATACAGGTTCCACTTGAAGCCCTGGGCCTCGAAGCAGCTCATGTACTCACCTGCAGAAACGTGTGTGCGGCGCTATGTGGCTCCTCTGGGCCCCGCTGCACCACAGAATCTCTGCTGCTTTCCAAGCCACAGCCTTGCTCCTGTCCTCTGCCTGCCACCCAGTGCTTAACCCCAGCAAGCAAGGTCCCAGGATGGCCCCTTTGGTGGACATTCCCTGTCCCCAAGAAGGATTTCTAGGAGGTAGAAGAGATCTCTCTTTTATCGGCCCATGCCCGTGAATTTCATGCTCTCCCTAGAGCAGATGCCCTTCCTGCACCACCCCTGCCATTTTAGCATCTTGAAAAACATGGATCTGTTCTCAGCAGACATTGAGACGGTATTCTCCACATTCTCCATATTTTGTGTGGAGAATTGTAGTATTTTTGTTAACAGAAACATTTTTATGAAAAATAACTACATTTTCCAAAACATAATTAGACAAGTGACTTTGTTTTACATGTTTGCAAATCTTGCCCGTGTCTGGGTTCTCCCATCTGCATTTGCATTCAATCTCGTGATGGCCCTGTAGCCTCTGGAAAGGGCCACTGTCTACACCTGAGGGAGTGGGAGTGAAAGGGTCAAATGACATCTTAGCATATTAGGACAATAGTTGTGACTTTGTAAACCCTGAAAAGGGTCTCAGAAGTCCCAGACCACAGTGAAAACAGCTGGCCATTTTTAGAATTTTCCACATTGCAATTTTTCACACCAAGGGACCTCTTAGCCTTTGTTTCCCCAGAATGGGTAAATGGAAAGATGAAAAGGGTGAGAAAGAGGTGGAAAGAAAAGAAGGAAGGAGAAGGGAGGGAGGCGTGGGAAGAAGAGGTGAAGGAAAGCAGAGAAGGAAGACGAGGATGAAGGGAAGTAAGAGGAAGGAGAAAGGAGGCAAGGAGAGGACAGGCTGGCTACCTGCCCAGTGATGGGACATGTTGGAGACGCTGAGGGCAGCCTGGCCGTGGCTGGAAGTCACAGACACCTGTGTCCCTGGCTGCAGGAGGATGGGACTGGGGCTCCCTGGGTGCCTCAGGAACCAGCTCAGGTTGGTGGCCTCCTGGCTCAGATGGAGAGTCAGGCTCAGCGTGTCACCAGGCATCTGCAGCTGGGAGTTCAGGTTGAGGATCCCGGGGACTGCAGGGAGGCAGGTGACAGGGGACCCTGGAGGAGGGACTTATGGCCCTCAGATGCAGCCGAGCAATGGCTTCTCCCCTGACTCTGGAGCCCATTCCTCCACACTCCCTCCCTAGCTTTTTAACTTTTTCTTTTTGTCCCTGGGTGGGCACCTGAATGTGGCTGCTGCAATCCAGCCTGGAAGACTCTATCTGTTATTGGAAACCAAAGAGGGAACCTTTTTGGTCTATGCCTCTCCCTCCCCCAGGTATCCTGGGCTACTGGAGCTGCTTCCTGCCTCCTAAGGTAAAAAGCAGTCACTCCAGCACTTTCTCTCCTGGTCCTTATGTCTCTGGGGCCTCTCTCATTAGTCTCCCTACTCAGGTTCCAAGCTCAGGGCCTGTGATCTGCTATGATGGCTGGCTTTTTCTCCCACCCAGAGGAGCAGCTGTGCTTGGACCAGCTGGCCAAACTACAGGTTCAGAGAGGAGAAAACCACTGAGAACATTTATTTCACTTAAGGCCATTGGTTTCCAAGTTCCCAACCTTCCTCACCAGGTGGCAGCAACTGGCAGTACCCGGGTTCGGGATGGCTGAAGACAAGGCAGCCACAAGGCTGGTGGTTGTGGAGGCTTTGACAAGGAGGGTAATGGAGGCAGATGCTGGTGTTCCACTGGTAGCCAGAGAGGCAAGCACAATAGAAATTCCCCTTGTGGTTGACATTACACTCTGACAGAGAGAAGAGAAGAGGGGGTGGGCAGGCTGTCTGAAGAAGCTAGGTGGGCAGGGCAGACACCTGCCTGATGCCTGAGAGGCTTTAGGGCTGGGTATCTGGACCAATCCCCAAGCTACAGGTGCCTCAGTCAGGCCCATGCATCAGGACTGCCTCCTCAGTCAGGACTCGAAGCAGCAGATGTCTCGGGGGCCAGGGAACAGGTGAAGGTGGAGGTCTGGGCCCACGTTGTCTGTCCCTTGGGCCATCAGCCAAAGTTAGAAGATAGGGGGATGTGGCAGGCAAGGAAGGGTCTGTCTGGTAGGGAGGTGAGGAAGGAGCTGGGCCACGGAGACAGAACCAGGCAGCCCTTCCTCCAGGAAATACAGAGGGGCTCACAGAGTCTCAGGCAAGCTGGCTGCAGGAGGCCCGGGAGCCTATGTTCATTCACTCTCAGCCCCCTTCCCACGCAAGTGGTACCTGTTGTGAGTCTGAGGCCAGTGAGAAGAGGCCTTGGGGAAGAGGAAGCTGAGGCAGCAGGGAGAGTCAGTGTCCTGGAGAGTTCAGGGGGCCAGGTCTTATCTGGAAAGTCCAGATGTACATAGACGGAGACCAGCGCTGATTCTACAGGAGCAGAGGGGACAGCTGGAGAGGACAGGCAGCGAGGCCACAAGCCGGTCCCCTCTGGATTCTCTCACCTAGCTGGCCAGTCCCAGGAATGCAGAGCAGACCCCCTCCCACAGCCTGTCCAGGTGCATATAGACAGGGCTCAGGAAGGGAGCAAGTCCTCCCCTAGGCACTGTGCCTTCAGATACACGGCTTCATGTCATCCGTCCAGCAACACCTATTTTATGGATGAGGCTTCAAAGACAAATGAGTTCATTTCCAGGCCTCTCCGCTAGAGAACTGGTCACAGACCTGTCCGACTGTGATCAGAGCCAGTCCTCTCTCTCCGCCACCACTCCCTCGCTGCACCTGCCCTCTCTTTTCTGGGTCCTGGGTTTCCACCTCATTCCCAGCTCCCATCTCCTCCCCCTCCCTCCTCCTCCTGTCCATACACTCACCCCCTGCTCCATTCTCTTGGTCCAGGAGCTGCCCAGATCCAGATTCCCCTCCAGCCTGACTCTGTCCCTGGAACAGAACACAGAGGGGAGACCTCAAGTCCCTTCCAAAGGCACCCCAGGGGCCAGCCTGACTAGTCTCAGCCAGCATGACTCAGTCTCAACCAGCTCTTCTTTTTGCCAGGAGTCAAGTGTACACATCAGGAAGGGAAAGCAGGCTTCTGTTAGGGGGTGCCAGGGATGCAACCCCAGGAACCCTGCTATCCCACCCAAGACCAGGAACCAGGCACGCCCTGGGAAGTCAACATGCTTTGTTTAATTCCTTCCTGCGTTTACCTGTCCCTGGGCCTCTAGGCTAATTGAAATGGCTTGGTCTGGAGCTCCAGCAGCGGAGCTGGACATTGCTGGCTGGGGCCCAGGCGCTTGGGGAGTTTATTCCTTCTGTAGGATTTGACAGCAGGGTGAGCAGAAGGCAGCCTCTTTCCTCCGTCTTTGGTTCCTGTACATTATTTCCTCACCAACTCCTCCTCTGTCAGGGTGAGGGTGGAGGTCTGGGCCCACATTGTCTGGCCCTTGGGCCATCGGCCAAAGCTAGAAGATAGGGGGATGGGGCAGGCAGGGAAGGGTCTGTCTGGTAGGGAGGTGAGGATGGAGCTGGCCCAAGGAGAGAGAACATGGCAGTCCTTCCTCCAGGAAATATGGAGGGGCTCACTGTGTCACAGACCTGAGCCCTGTCTATATGCACCTGCGTGTGCGTGTGGATATCTATCCAAAACCAGATATTGATATAGATACGAGTATGGATAAGACGTGAGTATAAGCTGGTCACAATGGCACGTGCCTTTAGTCCCAGTTACTTGGGAGGCTGAGGTGGGAGGATCACTTGAGCCCAGGAGTTCAAGTCCAGCCTGGGCAACATGGTGAGAGCATGTCTTAAAAAAGATATAGATATAGATAGATTTAGATACAGATACAGATATATATTTACATAAAGATAGATTTAAATTTAGCAATAGAGATAGATTTAGGCTTAGTGACATATAGACATAGCCATAGATATAGCTATCTATTGAGGAGAACACAGATGGAAAGGCACCCTCTAGACTCTGATGTCTTTCCTCAGATTCTCTCCCATCCTCTAAGCCAATAGTTTCCAAATCTGCAAAATTTTTCTTTTTCTTTTTAAATGGCCAGCTTGACTGAATGAGACTTTATCCAAAGTACAGCAGGTATCATATGAGTTTACAGGGACTCAAATAAGGAAACAAGAGCTATCCCCCACACCCAGGAAAGTAAAACTGAGTTCTCAGAGATCTCATAACAAAGCATCCACTTTCCTTACACATTACTTCCTCTCCCCTCAGCCCTTTCCCCACTACCTATCCTTTCATTCCATGCTTTGTCTCTCCCAATCAGGGGTCCCCATTGTCGCCTCTGCAGACCTTCCCTGGGTCTCACCCCAGTCTCACTTACAGGTTGGGATGCTTGGGCAACTGGTGACCCCAGCAGGGGAAGAGTTGTGGCCAGGAGCAGCAGTGGGGCAGCCGAACAGACCATGGCTCAGTGAAGCAGTCCCTACAAGCCCACGATGCAAATTTCCGCAAGGAAGAGCTGGCAGGGCAGTGTGCAGATGGGATGGGAGGGAAGAGGGGAGGGAGCCAGGGCTGAATTTACAGAGGAAGCGCTACAGCCTGTGACTCTGAGTGAAATGGGAATCCAGGTCACTGTGGGGGCCACCTGGAGCCCACATGCCCCAGTGAGAATGGTGCCCAGGCTCTTCTTAGGCTCTGGACCCAAAGCTCCGAGAGCAGGAGAGGCTTAGGGGTTCGAAGTCACAACCAGCAACATGTCTATAAGCCAGGTTCAGTCATGTTCCCAAGGACCTGGGAAATCTGGATTGTTCTGAACTCCTCAAAGGCTGAATCACTGATCAAACAGTCAAGGTTACAAATGAAAAATAAAGAAAAGATAAAAATATGAGAGCTGATTTTTACTCTAAAATAATTTCCAGATAGACTAGAATCCTCCCTCCCTCCCTTCCTTCCCTTCTTTCTCTCCCTCCCTCCCTCCCTCCCTTCCTTCCTTCCTTCCTTCCTTCCTTCCTTCCTTCCTTCCTTCCTTCCTTTCTTTCTTTGTTTCTTTCTTTCTCTTTCCTCACTCTTTCCTTCCTTCCTTTCTCTCTCTCTTTCCTTCTTTCTCTCTCTCTCGCTTGCTCTCACTCTCGTTCTTTTTCTTTCTTTTAGAAACAAGGTCTCCCTCTGTTGCCCGGGCTAGAGTGCAGTAGCATGATCAAAGCTCATGATCATAGCTCACAATAGCCTCAAACTCTTGGGCTCAAGCTATCCTCCCAACTTAGCCTCCCAAGTAGCTGAGATTACACATGTGCACCACTGCACTGGCCTAGAGTCTTAAATGTAAAAAAGAATCTGAGAGAATACTAGAAAAAATTATCAAGTTATTTCATAAAATAATTTTAAACTGCGGAAGGTTTTTTAAATTGATAATACTGGTTTTTTATGTATTTAAGTTTTTTAAATACATAAAACTGAGAAGCCAAAAAGGAAATAAATTTGACTGTCTAAAAACTTTTAAGTTTGGCCTAAGAAGAATAATTTTCTCAACAAAGGAAGTTTCTTCTAGTTTTCATATCAATAAGATAGAAAATAGGCAAAAGATGGGAATAGGCAATTCACTGAAGAAGGAATAGAAATAGTTTGATAATGGGCGTGCACGGTGGCTCACACCTGTAATCCCAACCCTTTGGGAGGCCGAGGTGAGTGGATCACCTGAGGTCAGGAGTTCGAGACCAGCCTGCCCAACATGGTGAAACCCTGTCTCAACTAAAAATACAAAATTAGCCAGGCGTGGTGGCGCATCCCTGTAATCTCAGCTACTTAGCAGGCTGAGGCAGGAGAACTGCTTGAACCTGTGAGGCGGAGGTTGCAGTGAGCTGAAATTGCACCATTGCACTCCAGCCTGGGCAACAAGAGTGAAACTCCATCTTAAAAAAATAAAAATAAAAAAGAAGTAGTTTGATAAACATATACAAACCTCCAACTTTACGCATCAGAAATACAAATCAAACAAGAAGATACTATTTCTCACCTGCTAATTATCAAAAGAGAAAATTTTAATTATATTAAGTATTAAAAGTATAGTTGTACATGTGTGTAAAAACATGTACATAAGAATATTCAAGGCAGAATTGTTTGTGATAGCAAATGAGTTGATTAAACAATCAAAATGTCTATTAAAAAGGGAGAGCTTATATAAATCTTGGGATTTCCAAGCAACACATTACTTAAAGTTGTGGGGGAAAAGTGAAGTAGCTTTATTTTGGAGTGATCCCCAATATATGTAGTGAAGTTTAAATATATGTTATATATATTATGCTCCCATGTATGTAAACAAAAGGAATCTATTTAAGATGCTTGTACTTTTATATCCCTAGAATATTTCTGGAAGAATACATCAGAAATTTGACAATAGTTGTTGCTTCTGGAGAAAGGGATTAAGGATCTGGATGGGTCTGTGTGCTGTTTCATATATAGTTTTTCTAATCATAGACTTTTTTTTTAATCAAAAAAAGTTGATTTAAACACACACACAAAGTACGAAGTACCTATGGTAGAAACATAGCCCCATTGCATTTCCACCTCCACCTCCACCTCCAATCCCCCCTTGCCAGTTTTGCTGCTAATGGAAGAGCAGACACACTGGGCAAATACACTCATGGGAGCAATCGCTCTTGTAAATAGCTGATTTCAGAAAACATGAAAATGGTGGAGAATCTGGTTTGAGAACCAGAGAGAGAAGTGAGAGAGAAAACACAGGTGCTGGAGGTAGGATGCTATTAGCATGCTGTGTGCTGTCTGTTGCAGCTATAGGCAGTCTCAGATGGGCCAAGGGGATGTGGGACATCAATAGCATCTGCTGCAGTCTCCAAATGGAGTCTGTCAAGGCATGAAGTGGTCCTAGACTATGCTCAACAGGGTCTGTTGAGGACCAGGAAATACACAAGCAAGAGGTGGACTGAGACCCAGAAAAGTGGATGCTTCAGTGCCGAGGGGAGACTGAGCCATGGCAGCCCCCAGTTAGGAGAGGCAAGGACAGCCTCCAGTGGAGGGAAGGCTGTTCATCCATCAGCATGAACACTGAAGGAAGAAGGAACTCCGAGGACATTAGAAAGCTAATAGAGGCTGGGCGCGGTGGCTCACACCTGTAATCCCAGCACTTTGGGAGGCCGAGGCGGGCTGATCTCCTGAGGTCAGGAGTTCGAGACCAGTCTGGCCAACATGGTGAAACCCCGTTTCTACTAAAAATACAAAAAAATTAGCCAGGTTTGGTGGTGTGCCCCTGTAATCCCAGCTCCTCAAAAGACTGAGGCAGGGAATTGCTTGAACCAGGGAGGTGGAGGTTGCAGTGAGCTGAGATCGTGCCATTGCACTCCAGCCTGGGTGACAGAATGAGACTCCTCAAAAAAAAAAAAAAAAGCAAGCTGATAGAGGCTGGGTGCAGTGGCTCATGCCTGTAATCCCAGCACTACACCTTGGAGGCCAAGGTGGGCAGATCATGAGGTCAGGAGTTCGAGACCAGCCTGGCCAAAGTGGTGAAACCCCATCTCTACTAAAATATGAAAATTAGCTGGGTGTGGTGGTGCGTGCCTGTAATCCCAGCTACTTGGGAGGCTGAGGGAGGAGAATCGCCTGAACCTGGGAGGTGGAGGTTGCAGTGAGCCGAGATCACTGCCACTGCACTCCAGCCTGGGCGACAGAGCAAGAATCTGTCTCAAAAAAAAAAAAAAAAAGAGAAAAGAAAAAAAAGAAAGCTGATGGAGCTGGAGCTGGAGAGGTCCTCCGTATTCCACCCCCAAAACATAATTTTCCCTAATTGATTCCCAGCTCATCTCTCATCTTAACCACTTTGAGTTCATGACTAATAGTGACAGTAGAAATGAGAGCAACATATTCCTAGTTCAAATAAAGCTAAGGTGTCCAAGGTGTTCAAAACTATTGATAAAATTGAGATTTATTTTACACTTTTTAGACTGTTCCTATGATTTTAGAAAAGCTTGAAACATTTTTGCATGTACAGAGATATCTAGAAAAAGACTGGAGGGAAATGCTACAGGCTCTCCAAAGCACTGAGTTTACCTCAGTACCCCCCAGTGCCTAGCACCGTGCATTGGAGGCCTTAGGTAATATTTGTATCAAATCAATCAATCAATAAATGGAATACACCAAGACATAAACGGTGATTTTAATTAAATGGTAGATTTGGTATATTTTTCTACTTTTCTGTATGTTTCAATTTTGTATTCTGTAATAGAAAAGATCTTAATAAAAATATCATATCTGGCTGGGTGCAGTGGCTCACTCCTGTAATCTAATCCCAGCACTTTGGGAGGCCGAGGCAGGTGGATCACCTGAGGTCAGGAGTTCAAGACCAGCCTGGTCAACATGGTGAAAACCCGTCTCTACTAAAAATACAAAAAAAATTAGCCAGGGGTGGTGGTGGGCACCTGTAATCCCAGTTACTCAGGAGACGGAGGCATGAGAATCACTTGAACCCAGGAGGCGGAGGTTGCAGTGAGCCGAGATTGCACCACTGCACTCCAGCCTGGGCAACAGAGTGAGACTCCATCTCAAAAAAAAATCTATATATCTGTATATCTATATCAAATCTTACAGTCTTATGGACCGATCAGTTTCATGGGGTGTCAGGAAGCACCCACAGGCTGAATCAGGTCTTAGGCAAAGTGGAGTTCAGACCAATGGGGACTTATTGCTGCCACCTACCTACTCCCAAGTCCAAAGTGAACCACAAGGTGATTGGCCTTTGTCCCTCCAATATACATAATGATTTTTGGAAACTGATAAGTTTTTAGCTGCTGGCAGCTTCTCTGAGCTCCTAGGTTGCTCCTGGACACCTCTAAACATGGATTGTGAAGGCTGCTAGTAAGCAGTGCTCCCTTATTTCATTTTTATTTTTTAGAGACAGGATCCTGTTATGTTGTTCAGGCTGGCCTCAAAGTCCTGGGCCAAAGTGATTCTCCCACCTCAGCCTGCCCAGGTAGTTGGGATTACAGGCGTGAGCCACAACTGGACCTGGCCTCCATTACTTCTTCTTCTTCTGTGTTTGTTTTTTTTTTTTTTGAGACAGAGTCTCACTCTGTTGCCCAGGGTGAAGTACAATGGTGCGATCTTGGCTCACTACAACCTCCACCTCCTAGGTTTAAGTGATTCTCCTGCCTCAGCCTCCCAAGTAGCTGGGATTACAGGTGCCCACCACCACACCCAGATAATTTTGTATTTTTAGTAGAGACGGGATTTCACCGTGTTGGCCAGGCAGGTCTCAAACTCCTGGCCTCAAAAGATCCACCTGCCTCGGCCTCCCAAACTGCTAGGATTACAAGCATGAGCCACTGCGCCCGGCCTCCATTACCTCTTATAGAAAGTAACTGCTGGACCCAGGTGTGGTGGCTCATGCCTGTAATCCCAGCACTTTGGGAGGCCGAGGCGGGTGGATTGCTTAAGGCCCAGGAGTCCAAGGCCAGCCTGGGCAACATGACAAAACCTCAATATGGCAAAACTTCATCTCTACAAAAAGTTAGCTGGGTGTGGCGGCACATGCTTGTAATCCCAGCTACATGGGAGGCTGAGGTGGGACGATCACCGGAGCCCAGGAGGTCAAAGCCACAGTGAGCTGTGATCGTGCCACTGCACTCCAGCCTGGGCAACAGAGCAAGACCCTGTCTCAAAAGAAAAAAGAAAAGAAAGAGAGAAAGTAACTGCTGGGGTTGCTACATATTAGTTACCTCTATGAACCAGACATTGAATCTTGGTGTATTTTTTTTTAACTTTTATTTTAGGTTCAGGGGTACAAGTGCAGGTTTGTTACATAGGTAAACTTGAGTCATGGAGGTTTGTTGTACAGATTATTTCATCACCCAGGTATTAAGCCTAGTACCCATTAGTTATTTTCCTGACCCACCCTCTGAAAGGCCCCAGTGTGTGTTCCCCTGTATGTGTCCATGTGTTTTCATCATTTAGCTCCCACTTATAAGTGAAAATATGTGGTATTTGGTTTTCTGTTCTTGTGTTAGTTTGCTAAGGATAATGGCCTCCAGCTCCATCCATGTCCCTGCAAAAGACATGATCTCATTCTTTTTTATGGCTGCATAGTATTCCATGGTGTATATGTACCACATTTTCTTTATCCAGTCTATCATTGATGGGCATTTAGGTTGATTACATGTTTTTGCTACTATGAACAGTGCTGCAATGAACATCCACATGCATATGTCTTTATAAAAGAATGATTTATATACCTTTGGGTATAGACCCAGTAATGGGATTGCTGGGTAGAATAGTATTTCTGTCTTTAGGTCTTTCAGGAATTGCCACTGTCTTCCACAATGGCTGAACTAATTTACACTCCCGCCAACAGTGTGTAAGTGTTCCTTTTTCTTCACAGCCTTGCCAGCATCTGTTAATTTTTGGCTTTTTAGTAACAGCCATTCTGACTGGGGATCTTGGTGTATTTGCACAAATACAATTTGGGTTCAGAGGTCATGACAGCTGTTATGCGATACAGGATTTCTGCTGGTTGCTACCAAGCTGTGGCCAGTGGCAGTGGCCACATCATGGGACATGTGTAGAGAGAAGGGGAAATGCACAGCTGTTCACCCAGCTGCAGCACAATTCCAGTAATGGCAAGTCAGCTAATCCTCGGCTGACACAGAGAACTCTAACATAGAAAGAGTCTGTTCAAAATTGTTTGATGCTATAAAATTACTTATCTGTGAAATATTTGACAAGAAGAGGTATTTTAACAAAAAGCTGGACACATTATATATGCCTTTATAGGAAAAAAGATATTTCTGACATTAAAATGTTAAAAGAAATGGTGTAAATTTATTCAGAAGGAATAATGACAGCCTTAGATCTATAATTTAAGTATCTAAGTCTGGACCCTAGAATGAGATCCTGCATTTGCTGTCTGGGACTGTTCAGAAAACCCTGCTTCAGCGTTTATATTAAAGCTATGTACCTCAAGAGCACAACTTAGAGAAGCTGAAGAAACTCATGAAATTTCTGATGCTTTCTTTGATTCTTACAAGATGTGGGGTCTTCACAAAAGTTTCATGCTGACCTTATATACAAATAAACCTATGGAGAGACCAGGACATTAGAGTGGAGAAGAACTGTTTCTTCTAAAGATAAAATAATTTCAAATCCTTAAGCCAGGGTCCTGACTAATTTTAAGGCATAATTCAGGGTTATAATCTTATAAACTTAAGTATCTGTTAGGTACCATTCCCCATTTATTAAAACCCATTAATGAAAATTATTTTATAATTTTGGAGGTATAGATGACCTACCTAAGTGTGAGACAAAATCCTGAAATCATATAAGAGAAGATGACTAATGTGAGTATAAAAAATATAAGATATACAAATCCTGGACGGCTGCAAGATGGTAGTATTACTCCATGAAAGAAGAACAATTTTCTCTCTGAGTCAACAACTACGTGTTATGGTTTGGAAAGGGGTCACTAATAGGAAAGCAGACATGAGTCAGCTTCATTAATGGAAAAGCTGAGTGAGAGAAGGTGATTTTGATCTGAGCCAAGTGTACTTCCCAATACATCCCCCTCGAACTGAATTCACTAACTCAGTCACTGGCACAGCAAGGCATCTCCAGGTCTACCTGTCTGGGGACGGGGAGCTGAGGACAAGTATGGAGGACTGGCCACTTCAAAAGACGGGGCACCCAGAGCTCATTCTCCAAGTCTTACCAGAATATATCCTTATCAGAAGGATATATTCTGGTTCTCTGGTCAGAAATCCCTCTCTGTTCCCCTTACGTCAAAAAGTGATATAAGTCACTTTTTGCTTTGGTGAGAGGGAGAGGGAACAGAAAATATATCCTTCTGGAAGTGGAAGTTCCTTTCCCTCTGTGGAAATGGGAGAAGTGAGTACGCATTCCCTGCCAAACCATGCAGTAGTGAACTTATTTCAATATTCTAGTGAGCAGGAAAACTGAAAAACTTCATTTAATGATGAAATATACAAGTAAGTAGATTTTATAAAGTCAATAAACCTAGAAAATATTTTTGAGTAGCCTGTTAGAAGCCCTAGAGAAATGTGTGTCAAGGGCAAAAAATAGCAGGTCCTTGTACTGAGAACCTATTGTTCATGAGTATATTCTACTTATTTTCTGACTCATTTCTTAGAAACTGCCCTCTGCCCATAACCACAGGTTTACCATGGAAGTAGCCTTTTTCTTTTTTCTTTGAGATGGAGTCTCTCTCTGTCACCCAGGTTGGAGTGAGATGGCACAATCTTGGCTCACTGCAACCTCCGTCTCCCAGGTTCAAGCAGTTCTCTTGCCTCAGCCCAAGTAGCTGGGACTACAGGCGACCACCACCACTCCCGGCTAATTTTTGCATTTTTATTAGAGATGGGGTTTCACCATGTGGGCCAGGCTAGTCTCAAACTCCTGACCTCAAGTGATCCACCTGCCTCGGCCTCCCGAAGTGCTGGGATTACAGGAGTGAGCCACCATGCTTGGCCAAAGTAGCTGTTTTACACTTGGTTACACTAATCTCTGATTACAGTACAGTCCACATCTAAAACCAAGTGGGAACAATTTCTCTCTTCTGGGGTAATTTTGGAACTGGGACCCAGTGAGAGTCTGGGGTTGGGCCTACAACTTGTAAACTCAGCAGCTCTTGGTTTTCTGTCATGGGGACTGGGAAAATAGTCTGAGCTCCAAGGAAAAGTAAAACTAATGTGGATACAGAAACAGACAAACATGAGGTGAGTTCCTCTTCAAATTCAGTTTATCCCTGATGTTCATTTGCACTCTTGATCTTTAGTTCCTTCAGAGAACCTGACTTCCTTTCATTATTTCCCTTTGAGCTGGATAGAGCAGCTTTCTGTTACTTGCAGCTAAAAGAATGTATCAATACATGCTCAGAAAAACCAAGGATGCTGTATCAGTACGTCTGAGTCTGTTCTGTGTTGCAATAACAGAATACCACAGACTGGGTAACTTTTTTTTTTTTAAATAAGGCATTTATTTCTTACAGCTCTGGAGGCTGAGAAGTCCAAGGTTGAGGGGCTCACACCTGGTGAGGGCCTTCCTGCTCTGTCATCCCATGGCAGAAGATGGAAATTCAAGAGAGCACATGAGAGAGAGAGAGATGGTGGGGTGGGGGCGGGAGAGAGAGAGACAAAGACAGAGAGAGAAAGAGGAAAGGGGCCCTAACTTATCCTTTTATTAGGAGCCTACTCCCAGAGGACTCCAGGACTGTAAGAAATAAACGTCTTCTTTTAAAAAAAAAAAAAATTTTGCCACTCTGTGGTATTCTGTTATTGCAACACAAAACGGACTCAGAGTCCTCACAACCTAATCACCTCTTAAAGGTCTCCACCCCTCAACACTGTGGCATTAGGGATTAAGTTTCCAACACATGAACTTTGGGGGACACATTCAAACCACAGCATGGTAGAAAAGTGGTCATTATATTAGGAATGGGATTAATGAGCCTTGTGATTCGAGACAACCACTTCATCTTTCTAGACCTCAGTTTTCACATCAATAAAATGGAGTTAAAATATATGGTCTTTGCAGTATTTAAAAGTGTTGTTCTGTTTCTTTCTGGCTTTCATGGTTTCTAAAACAAAATCCACAGCCATATAACTCATTGATCCCCTATAAGTAATCTATCATTTTTCCTTGGCTGCTTTCAAGATTTTTTCTTTGACTTTAGTTTTTAGCAGTTATGATGTGTTTAAGGTGGGCTTTCTTTGGACTTATCCTTTTTGGATTTGGCGAGCTTTTGCTTCTGTAGATTTATGTCTTTTATCAGCCACTATTTCAAATTGTTTTTCTGCACTGAATTATTTCTCCTCTTCTCTGGCGCTCTAATGACACAACTATTAGGCCTTTTTAGTTTTTTTTTTTTTTTTTGAGACGGAGTCTCGCTCTATTGCCTAGGCTGGAGTGCAGCAGTGCTATCTCCGATCACTGCAATCTCCGCCTCCCAGGTTCAAGCGATTCTCCTGCCTCAGCCTCCTGAGTAGCTGGGACCACAGGTGCATGCCCACACCCGGCTAATTTTGTGGTATTTTTAGTAGAGACGGGGTTTCACCCTGTTAGCCAAGATGGTCTCGATTTCCTGACCTCGTGATCCGCCCGCCTCAGCCTCCCAAAGTGCTGGGATTACAGGCATGAGGCACTGCGCCCAGCTGCCTTTTTAGTATTTTATCCACAGATCCCAGTGGCTCTGTTCAGGTTTTCAATCTTTTTTCTCTGGTTTTCAGATTGGATCATTTCTATTGATCTATCTTCAAGTTGACTGACTTTTTTCTCTGTCATCTCTGTTCTGCTGTTAAGCCTGGATAGACAGAATAATGACCACCCAAAGATGTCCATGTGCAAATCCCTAGAACTTCTGGATATGTAAATGTATATGTCAAAAGGGATTTTGCAGATGTGATTAAATTATGAATATTGAGAGGGATATTATCACGGATAATCTGTGTGGGCCCAATGTAATCACAAGGGTCCTTGTAAAAGGGAGACACGAATGTGAGAAACAAAAAAGCACAGGTTGAACTGATGCAGCACTTTATTTATGTAATTATTTTTTGAGACAGGGTCTCACTCTGTTGCCCAGGCTGGAGTGCAGTGGCACAATCATGGCTCACTGCCGCCTTGACCTCGTGGGCTCAAGTGAGCCTCATCCTCCTGGGTAGCTGGCACCACAGGTGTGTGTCATCACGCTTGGCTAATTTTTATTTTTATTTTTTGTAGAGATGGGGTCTCACTATGTTGCCCAGGCTGGTCTCAAACTCCTGGGCTCAAATGATCCTCCTGCCTTGGTCTCCCAAAGTTCTGGGATGACAGGTGTGAGCCACTGTGTCCAGTGAAACTGATGCACTTTAAAGATAAAGGAAAGGGCCTTGAGGCAAGGATTGATGACAGGCTCCAGAAGTTGGAAAGAGCAAGCAAATGGATTCTTCCCTGCGGTTTCCAGAAGAAATGCAGATCTGCTGACATCTTGATTTTACCTCTGTAAGATTCATTTCACACATCTCACTCTCAGAACACATTACATTACATAATACATTTGTTTTGTTTTAAGTCACTACATTTGTAGGTATTTATTATAGCAGCCATGGTAGTAATTTAATACAGAGCTCATGCAATAACTTTTACATTTTTGGTTATTATATATTTCAGTTCTAAAGTTCCCATTTGGTTCTTCTTTATATTTTCTATTTCCTCCTTGAGGCTTTTTGCCTTTTCTTTTGTTTTTAAAACAGTGTTCACATTTACTTATGGCACTTTTGTAATAGGTACTTTAATGTCTTTTTTAGATAATTCCAACATCTTTGTCATCTCAGCATTGGTAAATGTTGATTGTTTTTTCCCATGTGAGTTGAGATTTCCAGGTTCTTCAAATGCCAGTTAATTTTGAGTTTTATCCTGGAAATTTTGAATATTATGTTATGAGACTCTGGATCTTGTTTAAAACCTGTGGGAAGTGTTAATGTTTCTTTTTTAGCAGGTAATCTACCTGGCTTGGTTCAATCACAAGTTCTGATCAACCTACTGCGGACTGTGCTTCTTTCAACATCAATTCTCATTTCAAAACCTTTACGGTGCTATTCAGATCTTCTGCAGATGTGTGCCACCCAGTGGCCGGCCCGGGACCTGCGTGATGGATGGTCGATCTCTTAGTGCAGTTCTGCTGGTGGTTTGTGGTTTAGAGTCAGATCCACGCCTGTACAACTGGGAAGTGATCCCAGGAGCTCATAAAACTGTCTGGGGTCATCTTCTTGTCCTCTTCCTTTCTGGTCATTCTAGTACTTTCTGATTCCCTGGGACTCCTCTTTTTGGTTCTCTGGCCAGAAATCCAGGGCTTTATTTCCCTGCTTTACCATGCACTTACTGTGACTGTTCACAGGTGGGGCCTTGTAGCAGAGACAAAAAGCAATGGAGGTTTGCCTTGCCCTCTTGGCACCATAAATTCTGATCAGAGGAAGTTCCCCTCCCTCAGAGTTCTCGGCTCCTGCGGATCCTCACCGCCACTGCTGCCATGGGATTGCTTAGAGGCTGGGTGTGAAAGAACAGAGAAAAAAGAAAAAAAAGGTAGAATTTCCTCCACTCTCTCTGAGTGTTAGGGTCTTCCTTCCCTCTCCTTGAGCCAGACCTAGGGGGTTTCTTCTGTAGTTCTGTCTGTCTGTGCAATTGCCCATTTCTGGATTTGAGGTTGCCTTGAGTTCAGGCCAGTGCATACCAGAAGAAAAAATGTGAAGCTCACCACCAGTTCGGTGGTATGTTGAATTCTGGACTTCTTCCCCAATCCACCTGCTACTATTTACTTTCTAGAGTCCTCAAATATCAGTTCCGTGCATCTTCACTCAGTGGGAGAGACAGGGTGGAGGATGCTTACTCCATCTTTTCTAGAACTGGGCCCCTGCGTCTCACAATTTTGATATGTATTTTTATTATTTCATTCAAAATATTTTCTGATTTCCCTTTTGATTTCTTCTTTGTCGGCTACTTAGAAGTGTTATGTCTTAATTTCTAAACAAAAGAAATTCTCTGGTTATATTTTTGTTACTGCCTTTAGCTTGATTGCATTCTTGTCAGAGAAGATCATCTTTATGATTATCAATCTTTAACATTTTTGAGGTCCGTTTTATGGGCCAGCTTATGGACAGCTTTTGTAAGTGTTCTGTATGTAATAAAAAAGTATGTGTGGCCAGGCGCAGTGGCTCACACCTGTAATCACTTTAGGAGGCCGAGGCGGGTGGATCACCTGAGGTCAGGAGTTCAAGACCAGCCTGACCAACATGGCGAAACCCTGTCTCTACTAAAAACACAAAAATTAGCTGGGCGGGGTGGCACGCACCTGTAATCCCAGCTACTCAGGAGGCTGAGTCAGGAGAATGGCTTGAACCCAGGGGCAGAGGTTGCAGTGAGCCGAGATTGCACCACTTCACTCCAGCCTGGGTGAAAGAGCAAAACTTCATCTCAAAAACAAACAGACAAAAAAGTATATGTATTCTGAGCTGAGCACAGTGGTGTGTACCCGTAATCCCAGCTACTTGGGAGGCGGAGGTGGGAGAGTCACTTGAGCCCAAGAGTTTGAGGCTGCGGTGAGCTATGATTGTGCGCTGTACTGCTGCCTGGGTGCAGAGTGAGACCAATCTTTAAAATACAAAAAACAAAAGGCAAAAACAAAACAAAAGAAACAAACAAAAAACCTTTAGATATCTGTTATAAATAGCACATATTTTGGTTTAGTTTTTTTTTTAATCAGTTAGACTACCCTTACCTTTATTAAATCATTTATGCTATTTATAGTCAATTATAATCACTGATAAGTTTAAATCTGTTGTCTATGTGTTTTCTATTTAGTCCACTTTTTCTGCTCCTTTTTTTCTCCCTTATTTCCCTGTTTTGAGTTAATTTCTTTTTATAATTATCTCATTTGAACTCCTCCCCCATTAGCTTTTAGTTACACATATTTTTACCACTTATTTAGAAAGTTTCTTTAGAGATGATAACATGCGTCTTTGACATCTCAAGGAGTTTAGAACACTTTAACTTCTTTTATTCCCCAGACTTCTACACTGGAATGTGTTAAAATAGAGATCTGTTCAGTAGTTGGGTAAACGAGTTTGCCTTGTGAGGGGACAGACATTTTAGACACTGGGAAACACAATTAAAAGTACACAGGTATGATGCAGATTGTTGTGCTGTCAGAGAACTACAGTACTGCAGTTTGGGATCATTGCTGCCAGAGGTGTGAATAGAAATGGAGGTGGAATTAGATCATGAAGGGCTGTCCATACTGGAAAGCAGGATGGGAAGCCAACAAACTAGAGAGCAACTACTTGAAAAGAAATAGCACAAAACAAAAAGTGATGAATACAAAATTAGGCCAGGCATGGTGGCTCACACCTGTAATTCCAGCACTTTGGGAGGCCAAGGTGGGTAGGTCCCATAAGCTCAGAAGTTTGAGACCAGCCTGGGCAACATGGTGAAACCCCGTCTCTACAAAAAATAGAAAAATTAGCTGGGCATGGTGGTATGTGCCTGTAGTCCCAGCTACTTGGGAGGCTGAGGTGGGAGGATCACCAGAGCCCAGGAGGTCAAGGCTACAGTGAGCTGTGATCATGCCACTGGTCTCCAGCCTGGACAACAGAGTGACAGTCTGTCTCAAAAAATATATATACAAAGTTATAACCAAACTTTATGTTAATTTTTTTTTCTATTTTTGCAGAGACAGGGTCTCACTATGTTACCCAGGCTGGTCTTGAACTCCTGGTCTCAAGCAATCCTCCCACCTCAGCCTCCCAAAGTGCAGGGATTATAGGCACTAGCCTCCATGGCTAACCCTCAAATCTCAAAGATTAAGAAAGTTTTAAATTTTGTATTATAACTGTATTGTTTGCTTGTTTGTTTCTCCGACAAGATAAACTGAAAGTTAATTCAAACTTGAATGCCTAAGGAACCACAGGTATTCATCAACACTCCCTCCTCTCCTAGGAAAATATTTCCTTCCAGGTTTTCCCTAAATCTTCCACCTCCCTAGTACTTGTAACCAGTGAAATACTTCCTCGACTTATTGCCTCTACTCCAGAACCATTCACAGTGCTCTTTGGAAAGCATGTTTTGTTATGAGCAAGATTCTTTCCAGTATCAAGTTTTTCTTAGAACACTCAAGTTAATCCCTTATAAATATCCTTTGATTAGAAAGCAGGATGGGCTCCTTGAGTCCAGTTGGTATTATGATATAGGTGTAGGCCATTTGATGGGTCACAATTGCTGAACATAAGAGAATTGATCACACAATACTTAGGCCACATAAAAATGAGATTGGGTACCAACCTCTCCTCTTAAATCTGGGGTAGGTGGAAAGTTCCTAGCCTCTAATCACGTGGTTGGTTCCCCTGGCAACCATCCTGAGGTTATCCAGGAGCCCCTAGGTACCAGTCATCTCATTAGCACGCAAAAAGACCTTACATTTTGAAGACTCCTAAACAGGGCAGAGAACAAATATGTATTTCTTATTATGTCACAGGGAGCAATTCCTCCAGGGACAGGAGCACCCCAGTGTCAGAGCAGCAGTTGTGGCAACCAGTGGTTATGGGGATCCCCAGCCACAGATGCCTTCTCTTAGCAGACAATCACTTATTCTAATACATACCTAGGTTTTCTAACACAAAAGTTCTTACTTCTAGCATAAAATAAAATTTAAAGGGCTGTACCTGTACAAGAACAGGATTTCATAAAATGTATTTTATTTACTATTTTTTTTTTAAGACAGAGTCTGGCTGTGTTGCCCAGGCTGGAGTGCAGTGGTGCAATCTCGGCTCACTGCAACCTCCACTTCCCAGGTTCAAGCAATTCTGTCTCAGCCTCCTGAGTACTGGGATTACAGGCACACGCCACCACGCCCAGCTAGTTTTTTTTTTTGTATTTTTGGTAGAGATGGGGTTTCACCATATTGGCCAGGCTGGTCTCGAACTCCTGACCTCAAGTGATCTGCTCGCCTCAGCCTCCTAAAGTGCGTGAGCCACTGTGTCCAACTAAAATTTAAAGGGTTGTACCTGTACAAGGATAGGATTTTTAAAAATCACCTTTAGTAGTTAGCCAGGCTCAGCAGCACACAGCTATAGTCCCAGCTACTTGGGAGGCTAAGGCAGGAGGATCACTTGAGTCCAAGAGTTCAAGACCAGCTTAGGCAAGACAGCAAGCTATCATCTCAAAAAAAAAAAAAAAAAGTAAATTTAAAAAACCACCCACAATGCTTTAATCCTAATTTTCCCTGTGGTTTTTGAGCTATTTTCTTATTTGCAAGCCTTACCCCTTTGTAGCAATTTAGACTTTAGAGTACCTCTTAATGCCTTCATTCTTTATTTCAAATTCCTCTAGAAAAGCTGTTAATTCACATCCTCCTGATTACTTTCTCCTGATTGCTTTCAAGAGAAAACTAGCTGGTGGCTACCTCAAGGGCTTGCTTCTCAAAACACCCCTTTAGCATTTTGCATTCCTATTCTCATGCCAAAACCAGGAAGATAAATCTTATATGGGTAATTTGTTGATGTTCACATTGAGTCCCTTTGATCATCTCCCCGCCATTAAAACACAGGTTATCCTAACAAGCATTCTATTAACGCAATGACTTGTCCTCTCCTACTTCATATTATAAAACCATAGAACCTATAGTTACCTTATCATGTAGGACTTTATAGGTCTACATTTTAGCTTTGCATAATTTGCAATAATGTTCTGGTAGATATGCCTGTAAAAGTACTAAATTTTAAGCAACTTTATCTACAATGATAAAATGCCCACAAATTAAAAACACCGAATTCATGACATCCTCTGTCTTTTTCCCTGGTTATCAATAAATACATTTTTAGTTGTAACAGGTATGCATATGTTATTTTGTGCTTTGCTTTTTTCCTCCCTCACGATGTGCTTTTCTTTTTAATATAACATTAATAATCAATTTCCCCTTTTTAAAAATTGAGATAAAATTCACCCTTTTAAAGAGTACATTTCAATGGTGTTTAGTATATTCACAATTTTGTGCAATCTTCATCACTACCTAATTCCAGAACATTTTCATTATCCCTAAAAGAAATCTCACACTTATTAGTTATTCCCAATCCTTCCCTGCCCCATCCCCTAATCAGCTTTCTGTTTCTATGGATTTGCCATAGAGCAAAGCAAAGCACATTTCCTATAAATGGAACCATACACTATATGGCCATTTGTGTCTGGCTTCTTTCACTTCGCATAATGTTTTCAAGTTCGTGCTGTAGCATATATCATTACTTCATTCCTTTTTGTGGCTGAACAGTTGCATGGACACACACATTTTATTTATCCATTCAGCAGCTGGGCATTTGGCTTCTTTCCATTTTTTGGCTATTATGAATAGCTACTACGGACATTCATGTACAAGTTTTTGGAGTAGAATGACTGGGTCAGGTAACTATATGTTTAACTTTTTGAGGAACTATCAAGCATTTTTCCACAGGAGCTGTACCATTTTACATTTCCACCAGCATTGCATGAGGCTTCCAATTTTTCCACATCCTTGCCAACGCTGTTTTTTTTTTCCCATTTTTTTACATTCACTTATTTCTCTTTCTAATAATGATGTATCTTACGACATTAATTTACTATAGTTTACAGTTTAAGTTCTTATATAATTGGGCATTTGATTGCCTGCTTTCCCCTCTGCAGTTACAAAATATGGCTCCTTATAGGTCTTTGCAACAAGATTTTTTTCTTGCAGATCATTTCCTGGAAGTATATTCTTTCAAAGTGGGATTACTAGGTTAATAAGTAGGAAGAGTTTTATGTTAATAGCACTTGTTGCTGCCAGTGCCATATATGTCCTTATTCCTTCACAGTACAACTTAATTCAATGCTTACTGAGGTCTTGCTGGGTATGAGGCATTATCTTACAGACTCAGAGGTATACAGATTTGGTCTTTACCTTCAAGGCACTTAGAGTCCAGTAAGACAGAAAAGAATAGATAATTTCCTAACATAAACATAAAGGTATGCACAGGATGCTGTGGGAACACAGTGTGGGGAGCTGGAAGTAGGTTGCCAACTGGGACAAAAAAGGCTTCTTGGGAGAAATGAAACTTAAGATGAATCTTGAAGATTGAGAGGGAGTTAACCAGTCACGAACAAAGGAACAGAAGCTTTGTATATGCAACCTGAAATGTTTGGCGATTTATGAATAATCCTGCATTCTGGGGAGATCAAGAGTGTGTGTGTGTGTGTGTGTGAGTGTGTGTTTGTATGTATGTGTGTGTGCGTGTGTATGTGTGTCTGTTGGAAGGAAGGGTCGGAGAGAATGACGACAAGAGTAATTAAATTCAAAGCAATCAAGGGAGGCTAGGCGCAGTGGCTCATGCCTGTAATCCAAGCACTTTGGGAGACCGAGATGGGTGAATCACTTGAGGTCAGGAGTTCGAGACCAGCCTGGCCAACATGGCAAAACCCTGTCTCTACTAAAAATACAAAAATTAGCTGGGCGTGGTGGCAAGTGCCTGTAGTCCCAGCTACTCTGGAGGCTGAGGTAGGAGAATCTCTTCAGCCCAGGAGGTGGAGGTTGCAGTGAGCCAAGATCTTGGCACTACACTCCAACCTTGGTGACAGAGTGAGACTCCATAAAAAAAAAAAAAAAAAAAAAAAAAAAAAAGCAATCAAGGGAGAAGGGAGGAAGTTTCAAGGAAATAACAGTGGGCAGGATAAGTGGAAGACAACCCCAGTAAGTTATGTCTGAAAGTGTCCATTTGACTCAGCATCAAAGAGGAGGAACCTGGCAGTAGCCATTTCAGTGGCATCTATGGGGTTGGAAATGGACTGAAGATGAGTGAAGAGCAAGTGGGAGGTTTGGAAGTAAGAGATAGTTTATGATGACTAAAAAAAGCCAATGACAAGAGTTTTTGCCGTTCTTTCTCTGAATATTTGAAAGTGATCTAGGTGTAAGTCAGTGGTTTGCAAGTCTTTTCATGAAGCCTACTTACTGTATTTTTAGCGACAGCAGCTAATCTGAAGTGGTAGATTGTTTACAAATATAGGGGCAGTGATTGTCCTATACTTTTCTGCAGGCCCCACACTGTGTGACTTTGCCATTCCATCCATTAAGTAGTGGAATCTATTTCTCCTTCGTGACTCTGCACTGGCCTTGTGATTTGCTTTGTCTGGCAGAAGGCAACAGAAGCAACATTGTGTGGTATTTTACCTAGGCCGACAAAGGCCTTGTAGCTTCCACTTTATTGTTCTCCCAGCTTCATTGAGATATGATTGACAGATAAAAATTGTATTTATTTTAGGTGTACAATGTGATGTTTTGATATGGAGAACAGTGTGAAATGATTACCACAGTCAAGCTAATTAGCATATCTAGCAAGACCAGCAAAACTGCTCAGCTAAGCCCATTCCAAATTGCTGACCCACAGAATTATGAGCAAATAAAATGGTTCTTATTTTAGGCTACTGAATTTTGAGTAACTTGTTACATGGCAAAACATAACTTTTAAAACTGCTTATTTTAAAAATGTATTTTCTTGTAGTCTGTGTCTATTCATAAGGCATTTCATCATGAAGGGCTAAGTATCGTGAGTAAATGTGAAGAGCTGTTTCCATACCCCACTTTCTAGATTATTCATCAAAATATTAAATCAGGCCAGGTGTGGTGGCTCACACCTATAATCCCAGCACTTTGGGAGGCCGAGGCAGGCGGATCGCTTGAGGCCAGGAGTTTGAGACCAGCTTGGCTAACATGGCGAAAACCTGTCTCTACTAAAAATACAAAAATCGGCCAGGCATGGTGGCACATGCATGTAATCCCAGCTACTCGGGAGGCTGAGACATGAGAATCACTTGAACCCAGGAAGCAGAGGTTGCAGTGAGCCGAGATCGTGCCACTGCCCTCCCAGCCTGGGCAACAAAGCAAGACTCGGTCTCAAAAATAAAATAAATAAATAAATAGATAAATAAATAAATCCCTATGTGATCTCAAAGTCTTTATTTAGAATTTTCTTTTGATTTTAAGCCTTTGTTTCCTGTCTTTAAGTCAATTCTCTGTCCAAGACAAAATATTCCACACCTTCACAGTGGATTTAAAAAACGGAGAAGAGAGGTAGACAGGAGGATGAAAAAAAGATAGAAATATGGCCAGGTATGGTGATGCACACCTGTAGTCCCAGCTACTTGGGAGGCCAAGGTGGGAGGATTGCTTGAGTCCAGGAGTTTGAGGCCAACCTGGGCAACAGAGTGAGACCCTGTCTCTAAAAAAACAAAGAGAGAGAGAGTAAAATGATGAGCCAGAGCACTGGATGATGCTGGTCATTTTCAGAGTGCAATAATAACTTCTCCCTGCTTGGGGACCATGTCTTATTCAACTTTGTTTTGTTTTGTTTTGAGACGGAGTTTCGCTCTTGTTGCCCAGGCTGGAGTGCAATGGCACGATCTCGGCTCACTGCAACCTCTGCCTCCCAGGTTTAAGTGATTCTCCTGCCTCAGCCTCCCGAGTAGCTTAAATTACAGGCATGTGCCACCACGCCCGGCTAATTTTGTATTTTTAGTAGAGATGGGGTTTCTCCATGTTGGCCAGGCTGGTCTCAAACTCCCGATCTCAGGTGATCTGCCTGCCTTGGCCTCCCAAAGTGCTGGGATTATAAGCATGAGCCACCGTATCCGGCAGTCTTTTTCAGCTTTGTATCTCCATGTCCATCATGGAATTTGTATTTGGTACACAGTGTTCAATAAGGATACATGAAAAGAAAATGAAGTTGTTGGCTGGGTGCGGTGGCTCACGCCTGTAATCCCAGCACTTTGGGAGGCTGGGGTGGGCGGATCACAAAGTCAGGAGATCAAGACCATCCTGGCCAACATGGTGAAATCCTGTCTCTACTAAAAATACAAAAATTGGTGGTGTGCACCTGTAGTCACAGGCTGAAGCAGAACAATTGCTTGAACCCAGGAGGCGGAGGTTGCAGTGAGCCAAGATTGCGCCACTGCACTCCAGCCTGGGCAACAGAGTAAGACTCCGTCACAAAAAAAAAAAAAAAAAAAAAAAGCAAAGCAAAGAAAAGAAAGAAAATGAAGTTGTTACTTTTGTAACTGGGTCCCTTAACTTCAAAATGCATTTTAAGGGCTGAGCATGGTGGCTCATGCCTGTAATCCCAGCACTTTGGGAGGCCGAGGTGGGTGGATCACTTGAGGTCAGGAGTTCGAGACCAGCTTGGTCAACATGGTGAAACCCCACCTCTACTAAAAATACCAAAAAATTAGCTGGGCGTGGTGGCGCATCTGTAATCCCAGCTACATGAGAGGCTGAGGCTTGAGAATCGCTTGATCCCGGGAGGCAGAGGTTGCAGTGAGCTAAGATCGTGCCACTGCACTCCAGCCTGGGTGACAGAGTGAGAATCTGACTCAAACAAACAAACCAACAAAACAAAACAAAACAACACACCCCCAAAACTGCATTTTAATGTATATTTTTTTCTTTCCTCTTGGGTTTTAAGACGTAATTTTGAAGCAAACTGCAGAAGCCTTTTCCCTTAGCCTTGATATAGACTCCATGGTCCCTCTGTTTCTCATGGTATATACTCCCTTCACATTTATCTAACTGCATGCTAGTATCTAATTATACGCCTTCTTAGAAGTTCCGGGGGCTAATCTTGAGATAGGCAGACCAAGCCTGGAGACCCAACTGCAAAATTCCAGAGACGAATTCAAGGCAGCTAGTTAACAACCTGGCCATTGTTGAGATGACATCAGCCCGCATTCCAGGTGGATTAGGACCCAAGAGAGCCACCAGAACAAGACCCACATTGTACTCAGCACAATTCTCACATGCCTTCCTTATCAAGTTTTCCCGTTTTAAACCTCTGCTTTCCCTTCAAAAATTGAAACGATTCCTTTGGATAGAAATCTGGCCACTTTCCCTTTACCAGTTTTGGTTAATCAAATCATTTTCTTTCTACCAGACTTCGCTCTTGTTAGACTCTGCAAGCAGTGAGCATCCCGACCTGTGTTCAATTGCAATTTTACATATTGTTTCCTATTTGTATATCTTGTTTTCTAGACTTATAGACAACAGTGTCTGATTTAAAAAAAAATAGAGCCAGCTTCCATTAGAGTTCTGGTCAAACAGGCCACATAGCCTTAGTTATACATGTCAAGGAAAAAGTGAAAGTCTTAGGTAGTAGAGCTCTATGTTGGCCACTGTTGCCTTAACCCCAGTATTTCCAGAATTCCTATAGGAAAAATGAATTATATGAATTATAACAATGTTCTTTACTCTCTTGTTCCACTTAGGATTTTTTTTTTCTCCTAGTGACTTTCTCTTTCACCAAAACCGAATGACCATTGATCCAATAATCTCAAAGTTTCATGAAGGTGAAAATAATCCTCATTCAAAAATGAAGGCCCTTGCACAGCTGTGTGTTCAAACTGAAATTAAAAAAGAACAGTGGTTACATTTGGTTGCATCTGCATACCTGACATTAGATGAGATTAACATTGCCAAACAAAAATAAAGAGAAAGGATCGCAGAGGTGATGCCCCTACGGCTACTCATCTGAATGATTTGTTCTCTCTTTACCTACAGTTCTGCTTCCGTTTTAGTGGAGTAATAAAGGGGAGGAGGATGTGTGTGTGGGAGAGGTATTAATTCTTCCTCCATTCATAGAATACAGATGCTGGTTCACTACCAGAACTTCAAGAATGATGAAAATAAGACTTTGCCCAGTGTAAAACTTTGCCTGCAATCAGTTTTTAAAATAATGCTTCTTTTATTTAACAGACATGCTCATGAGTAATGGTTATAACAAAGAAACAATCACTTGCCTTCAAAAAAAAAAGAATGGCAAATATGTAGATGGTCTAAATTACTAGACCTGTGATTTTACTCTTGCCTCATATCACACTGGGTCCCTCTGAATGTTTAAACTGTCTCTAGACTTCGAATGACTACTGACACTACTGGTTTGGTAGGTTAAGACCACAAAAATGGCCATAAAACCACTGAGAAGACCGGGCAAGGTGGCTCACGCCTGTAATCCCAGCACTTTGTGTGGCCAAGGTGGGTGGATCACCTGAGGTCAGGAGTTTGAGACCAGCCTGGCCAACATAGTGAAACCCCATCTCTACTAAAAATACAAAAATTAGCCAGGCATGGTGGCGGGCGCCTGTAGTCCCAGCTACTCAGAGTCTGAGGCAGGAGAATCGCTTGAACCCAGGAGGCAGAGGTTGCGGTTAGCCAAGATCGCGCCACTGCACTCCAGCCTGGGCAACAGAATGAGGCTCCATCTTGAGAAACAAACAAACACCACTGAGAAGCTAGTTGAGAATAAGTCACAAAATAGCAGAGACACCATCCTCCCCCAGCAACATAGGAAGTAGGAGGTATTAGCTTACGCTGAATCTCATTATATTGCGTAGACTTTTTCTGTGACAAAAATATGACTGATGACCCACTCATACAGTTCCCTTTACATTCTTACCTAAGAGGATTATGATTGAAAAATGTAAAATATAGCAAAAAACAGGCAAACAAAACCCCACTTGAGAAGATTTACTATAATAACTGGGGAGTTCCTTTTTGTTTTTTTTGGTAGAGACAGGGTCTCCCTATGTTGCCCAGGCTGGTCTTGAATTCCTGGGCTCAAGGGACCCTCCTTTCTCAGCCTTTCAGCATGCTGGAATTTGATTAAAAACTGACTTGTGAGCTGGGCGCGGTGGCTCACACCTGTAATCCCAGCGCTTTGGGAGGCTGAGGCGGGCAGATCACGAGGTCAGGAGATCGAGACCATCCTGGCCAACACGGTGAAACCCCGTCTCTACTAAAAATACAAAAAATTAGCCGGGCATGGTGGCAGGTGCCTGTAGTCCCAGCTACTTGGGAGGCTGAGGCAGGAGAATGGCGTGAACCCGGGAGGCGGAGATTGCAGTGAGCTGATATTGCGCCACTGCACTCCAGCCTAGGCGACAGAGCAAGACTCCATCTCAAAAAAAAAACAACTGACTTGTGATTTTTTTTTTTTAATATCTTACCATCAACTTGTAGAAGCATAGTGTAGTGGAAAATTATTCAACTAAAAGTCTGATGACCTGTGTTCCTCTTTCCTGGGTGACTTTTGGTAAGATATATTACTATTCTATTGTTCCACTCTATACAATTGGAACAGCCATCAGGCCCATGGCTCAGGATTGTTAGTCATGTGAAACTGCTTTGAGAACCAGAGTTTATGTGTATAAGGCATTCATTTTTATTTTAAAATGAGAACTAAATCAATACCTTTTTACAAACTTCTTTGGAAGACCCTGCCCATTTTTATGGCTTCAGTAACTTATATTGGAGTTATTAACTACATTAGTCCTTAATTAACCTCCAATATTTTTTGGCTGTCTCCATTTATCTGATACACTCTTATTCAGACTAAATAAAACAGGCACTCCAGGAACTTAAAACACTTTATTTTGGTTATATTATAAAAATAAAAATATTGTTTCTAGCACGAATTGATATTTTCTATGATTATTATTCTGGAAGGCAAAATGCCTGATCTTGAGTGTACAAGATGTAGAAGAAATAAACTTCAATGGATGAAGAGGCAGACATGGGAAACAAAGCAATAATAAACTACACTCAGGAATGTGGCGTGTAGAGCACAGATGGGAATAACAAGGCCAATCTAAAGCAGTCCGGGGCAGCTGGGCTGCCTTAGGGAAAAATGCCTCCTGGAATAAAATTTGGGAACGAGGAAACAGAAAGGTGACTTAGTTCCAAAGGCAAATTTGTTTCCATGACATTTTTCTCTTCCCACGTGACCATGCCTGCCGGGTTTAGGATTCACAGAATTCTGCGAAAATACAGTCATGCATCACTTAATGACAGGATATGCTCTGATAGTAAATACAAAAGCCAGTAAGACAGTTAGTTATTATCAAGTATTCAGTAGTGTACATAATTATATGTGCTATACTTTTAGATGACTGGCAGCGCGGTAGGTTTGTTTACACTAGCATTACCACGAACGTGAGTAATGCCTTGTGTTACAACATTTTGACAGCTAGGATGTCACTAGATGACAGAAATTTTTCAGCTCCACTATAATCTTAAGGGACCACATGTGGTCCCTCATTGACGGAAACATGGTTATATGGAGCATGACTAATATCTTAAATTTGTATGAATTTAATTGAACAGACTGGGGCCATATCATTGTAGGTAAGACAAGATTTCCCAGATGAGATGACTTAATCTCAGAGAAGTTATATGATATACAGTTTCACTGAATTTCAGAGATGAATAGGATCGTAGTACCTAATAGGTTCTAATGGATCGAATTAGATCTTAGGATCAAATGATCTTTTTTTTTTTTATTTTTTTGAGACAGAGCCTCGCTGTGTCACCCAGACTGGAGTGCAGTGGCGCGATCTCGGCTCACTGCAAGCTCCGCCTCCCGGGTTCACACCATTCTCCTGCCTCAGCCTTCCGAGTAGCTGGGACTACAGGTACCCGCCACCACGCCCGGCTAATTTTGTTTTTATATTTTTAGTAGAGACGGGGTTTCACCGTGTTAGCCAGGATGGTCTCGATCTCCTGACCTCGTGATCCGCCCGACTCGGCCTTCCAAAGTGCTGGGATTATAGGCGTGAGCCACGGCGCCCGGCCCAAATACCCTCTTTTTGAAAAAGAGTACTGGGGCTAAGTGAAGTAAGTTGTCTGAGATTACACAGCCAGTAACATGTCAAAGTATAAACCAATTTCTGGGTTATGCTTCAGCTTATAAATTATCAGATGAATTTATAATTGATTCAAACTTGTTACAACCTTATGCAGAGAAGCAGCAAATTGTAACTGCTTTCACAAAATTAAAAGTTACTGTTTTAAAAAGTGCTTTTAAAGAAAATATCAGAGGTAGAAAACAATTTTAAGAATCAATCATGTCATTTTGAGTTTGCTTATATCTGAACTGATAAACAATAAGTGCAGTTTATAAACTATTATTAGCTTGCACTGAAGTCACATTTTATGGCTTTCCACAATTAACTAAGTTTTACAAGTATGAAGGGTTTTTTTGGTTTTGTTTTTGAGACGGAGTCTTGCTCTGTCGCCCAGGCTGGAGCGCAGTGACACAATCTCGGTTCACCGTAACCCCACCTCCCAGGCTCAAGCGATTCTCCTGCCTCAATAACCTGAGTAGCTGGGACTACAGGCGCGTGCCACCACACCCGGTTAGTTTTTGTATTTTTAGTTGAGACGAGGTTTCACCATATTGTCCAGGCTGGTCTCAAACTCCTGATCGCAAGTAATCCCTCCACCTCAGGCTCCCAAAGTGTAGGGATTACAAGCGTGAGCCACCGCGCCTGGCCGAGACTCTCATTTCTAATGTTCTTCTCAAAACTGGTACTTCACAGCATATCAAAGAGATCTTTGCTCATTCATTCAATAAAATACGTTGATCATGTATTATTTGCAAGCCCCCTGGGTTATGGAACATGGGGAAAATTAAGATGTATAAGATGCAAATACTGCCCTCGAGGGCAAGTGTGATAAAGGACACTGAAGTTTATTGGTTGGCGGGCGCCCATTCTTCAAAAAATGCAAAAAATTTAGCCGGGTGTGGTGGTGTGCGCCTGTAGTTCTAGCTACTTGGGAGACGGAAGCAAGATCACCTGAGCCAGGGGAGGTCGAGGCTGCAGTGAGCCGTGATCACGTCACTGCATTCCAGCCTGGGTGAGTCAGTCCCTGTCTCAGGGGGCGGGGAGAAGCTTATTATCTACCATATACCAGGTATAAGATTATCTATTACTTTCTAAGAATCATGCTTTAGGAGGGGAGATTAGACATGTAGTAATAATACTGTGTTTGGCATATCTCGGGTCCCCAATAAATAGTTGTTAAACGAATGAACATAAAAGTATCTCAAAATAATCGCCCTTATTTCAGAGACCCAGAGAGACTGAAAGGCTCCCTGAAGTAGTGGTTTCCCATAACACAGAACTCATTTCATGTTGGGTCGATCATTTCCGAGCTTCGTAACTAAGTGACTCTGGGCAGGCTGCCTAATCTGAAAAAGGGGATAATGCCTTTCACTTCAGTGTTGTTATGGGGTTGATAATGTATGTGAAGTTCTCCCCACAGAAGGCGCTCAATAAAAAGCAGCAACTATTATAAAATTTTATTAGTAGATACTCACTAGCCATTGATCTAGTGTTTTTTGTTTGTTTGTTTGTTTTACAATTAACTGGGCTCCAGTTATGTAAAACACCTCTTGCAAACGCATTTAAGGACTCGTCGAGACTGAGAGATCACTGCTTTTATCTGGTCGGGAGACACCAGCAATCTTAATTTGGAACGGTTTGATAGAGCGGAGTGCGATGAGGCGGTCCAAGGTTCCTAAGCAACATAGACCTGAGGGGCTTGTCTCCAATGTCCTTTCACCTGTCTTTCAAGTCCCTCTGCTGACCGCACAAAGACTCCCGTGGCCCCGGCAGCAGCTCGGCCTTCTCTACATCTAACCACGTTTACTAAATTTCTACGGCACGCAGCGCACCGCACCAGGAGCTGGGAGCGGCTCGCGGTACAGACCTCCTTCCTCTTTTACTTCGCTGCAGCGGGAGAACTAAGTCCTCTTACCTGAGGCACTGCTGAACTGGTTCGCAAGCAGTCACTCTACCCCCAAGACTAAAACGGTATACCCCAGATCACCACGCAAGTGCGGATACCACAGAAATCCCACCTTCCCCCGGGACCGGGAGCAAAGCCCGCTGGGAAATTGACCTTTCACCCCCTCTCTTGCCTTACCTCAGCTCACCAATTTTGACGCTAGCAAATGAAGCGACGAAGAGAGCTGGAAGGCGGGACTTAGTGTTGCCTGATCCACGCCGATTGGACAACAGCAGTGTCGGGGGACGGGCCGCTCGAGCGGGCTAGCAACCCCCCCTCGATGGGCGGGGAGAAGCGTGGGCTGCGCTTGCGCACTGAGAGGCGGCCGAAGGGGCCGAGGCGGCTACGCGTGCGCGGTGGGCGGAGCGCGGCTCTCCTACCTTCTCGGGCAGCCCAGTCTTTGCCATCCTTGCCCAGCCGGTGTGGTGCTTGTGTGTCACAGCCTTGTAGCCGGGAGTCGCTGCCGAGTGGGCGCTCAGTTTTCGGGTCGTCATGGCTGGCTACGAATACGTGAGCCCGGAGCAGCTGGCTGGCTTTGATAAGTACAAGGTACCGCGGGCCGGCGGATGCCCCTCTCCCTGCTCCCGGCCTCGCCCAGGCGGCTGAGGGGCCCGCGCGGCGCGGTCCGTGTCACCTTGTGCCGCGTGGCTCCGGGCGGGCTGGCGGGCGTTCCTCCGGAGGTCCTGCGGGTCCTGGGGATTGGGGGTCGGGGAGCGTGGGAGCATCCTAAGCCCGCCGCCCGTAGTCGGCACCCCCCGGGAGATTTCCTTTTCCTTAGGAGAGCGCTCAGTGATCATGGAGCGAGGGAATTCCCTTCCTATTTTTTTTAAACTTATTATTTTCGTAAGCCCCCGAAAGGATGGAGTTCCTTCTGTTGTGTCAATCGCCTTCATTTTAGTGAAGTTTCCACTCGCCTGTCATGCATACAACTTCGGAGGAGGAGATGATCGTTTGGCAGATGAGGCCCGGGAGGGGAGCGACTTGCCGATGCCATCCTGCTGATGTCTCCACTTCTGCTCCCGGCAGGGACTTCCTAAGCGGCAGCTTGTGGCGCTAGGGCCACCAGATGAAAGGGAGGTGCACAGGAAGGAGCTGTGGAGTGGAAAGAGCGCGGGCTTTCGAGCACATACAAACCTGATTACAAAAGTCAGATTTCTTTATTTCGTCTTGGGCACGTCATTTTAACCCCGCTCAGCCTCTCTTTTGTGTATGAAACTGAAAGTAATAGCTTCTGCTGTGCAAAATGATTAGAGGAATTTGTGAAGCGCTTGGCAACATACTAGGACCCCAGTAAATAAATGCGGGTGGTTAACTTTCCTCCAAATCTGGTTCCCATCCGCAGTTCCTTTACCAATGAATGACTCTAACCATCCAGTCGACCAAGCCTGAAATATGGGCTTTAACCCTTCATCCTTGTTGTTACCCGTTCATCTTCACATCTTAGCTTAAATATTGCTTCCTCAAAGAAGCCCTCCCTACGTGCCCCTTTCCCCCTTAAATGTGCGCTCTGTTCGTTTATGGAATTGCTGCTTTAGCGTGTCTCGCCATTAGAATATAATGCCCAACTCATTAGAGTTTTCTTGTGGACCATCATGGCTTAAGCACAGTGCTATGTGCATACTAGGCACCCAGTAAGCATTTGTGGAATGAATGAATAACTGAAAAAGTCATAATGGATTTTGTTTAACTCGAGTTAAAAAAAAAAAAAGCAAGGGTCCTTAGAAGGTCACATAGCATGTTTCTCTGCTTTCAAGCCGTATTGTGCCATACCATTCTGAACCGAGGTGATGACTTGTCTTAACATTTTAAGTGGAAAGAGGGTCCAGAGCCTTCTTGGTAACTCGGGCCAGTGCTTTTCAACTTTCATTTTAGAAGGCTGTTAACCCAGATACCTCCTGTTTTGCCTTAAGCTCTACTCCCCTTTTGTTGTCTGTTCTGCAGGGTAAATATTGACATATAAAACATTTTCTTCCTTACTAGGGTCTGACTTTCTAAGTGCCAATAAAATAGCTATTTCAATGGGAGCAGTGTTTATAATAGGAAATCTCCTTTTTCTTATAAAGAATCTTCCCTAGATTTATATTTTCAACTAAATAAGTGTCTTAATTTACTAGAAGTTTCGTGTAATTTTCTGTTCTGATCTTTCCCCCTTTTTTATTATATAAGTTCCTGTATCTGACAGCAGATGACTTCCTATCATCCTGGAAAACAAAGGTCGATTTAGCAAGCGTCCAATGTTCACTAAAATAGTTTGTTGATATCATTTTAGTTATAATGAGGCTTCCTTGGGGAAAAAAAAGCACACATTTATAACCTAAATATTCTTCTATTGCAATTACTCAATACTGCATTTATATTAAAATTATGAATCCAGTGGTATCCAAAGGAAAAATCCATGGGATCAGTTTTGCTTGAACACAAATCTCACAGATCTTTTTTTCTTATCGTTGCGTTCCCCTTATGTTGTCTTCAGATAGTAAGCGCTTTATAAATGCTTATTTTAAAAAGTCTTTTTTCCCCATAAATGGGTAAAGATTGAAAACACTCAAAAGATATTTTGTATTCCCTCATGTGATGCTTTATAAGAGGGATGTAAAGAAGAACTGACACTACAAAAGCAGTTGGTGGAAAAATTACTTTTGAAGTAGTTTAATTTATCTTCCCTAGAGGTATATCTGAGAGCTACAGTTGGAAACCTGACAGATATACAGAATAACTGCTGAAAGGGGTGCACACGGGGAGTGGAAATTAGGTTTCTGAAGCAGGAAACTATAAGACAATTGATTTTTGGTATGGAAGAGCGTGGGATGGATTCTGTGTTATGTATTGACACTTGCATTCGCTATTGTGTTACTTAACGCAATTGTATTAAACAGTTAGTTGACTATTAGTTGAATGTCTACTTTCTCTTTTAGGACGTGAGCTTTAAGAGGGCAGGCCCTATGGCTGACTTTTTTTTTTTTTTCTTTAATAACATGACTGAGGTCTAGCACAGTACCATGAACAGAGTAAGTGCTAAACAAATATTGAAGGAATGAGAATGTAAAAGAATCAACCATTTTGGAAGTATGGTTAAAAAAAAAAAAGGAGCTCTATGTCTGGATATTGAAAGGGTGCTTTTGTATTTTAAATGTGAAGATATCAGGTTTAACTGCCATTGTTCTCTGTTGCTTATTAACTAAGGTAACTTCAGAGAATTATACTGAAGGATTTCAGCCTTATTTTTGCCTCTACCCATCCTTTGTTTTGGACAGGCTTTTTTTTTTTTTTTTTTTTTTTTTTTTTTTTTTTGGAGATGGAGGTTTGCTCTTGTTGCCCAGGCTGGAGTGCAATGGCGCGATCTCAGCTCACTGAAACCTCCGCCTCCTGCGTTCAAGCGATTCTCCTGTCTCAGCCTCCCGAGTAGCTGGGATTACAGGCATGCACCACCTCACCTGGCTAACTTTGTATTTTTAGTAGCGGTGCATTTCTCCATGTTGGTCAGGCTGGTCTCGAACTCCCAACCTCAGGTGATCCGCCCTGGCCTCCCAGAGTGCTGAGATTACAGGCATGAGCCACCACACTTGTCTTTTTTTTTTTTTTTGAGATGGAGTTTTGCTTTTGTCGCCCAGGCTGGAGTGCAGTGGCGCGATCTCAGCTCACTGCAGCCTCCGCCTCCCGGGTTCAAGCAGTTCTCCTGCCTCAGCCTCCTGAGTAGCTGGGATTACAGGCGCCTGCCACCATGCCCGGCTAATTTTTGTATTTTTCTTTGAGACAGGGTTTCACATGTTGGCCAGGCTGGTCTCGAACTCCTGACCTCAGGTGATCCACCCACCTCGGCCTCCCAAAGTGTTGGGATTAAAGGCGTGAGCCACCGTGCCCAGCCCTTGGACAGGTCTTTATAGTTGAGGGATTTTTCCCCACTTATCTAAGGGTGAAACTGCAAGTTGGTTTTTTTTTTTTTTTTTTTGTCCTGGTTTGCTCATCATTTGGGAAGGCAAAGTTTTAATTGATAGTGTAGCAGCTACTTTGAAATTGTATCATTTTGCCTAAGGGAGGAAATATTCTGTGAAATATCTTGTTTGGTTGGTTCGAGAAAGTTATTTGTCTGGGCACAGTGGCTCATGCCTGTAATCCCAACACTTCCGGAGGCTGAGGTGGGAGGATGGCTTGAGGATAGAAGTTGGGCAACATAGTGAGACCTCATCTCCACAAAAAAAAAAAAAAAAAAAAAAAAAAATTAGCCAGGCATGGTAGCACGTGCCTATGGTCCTAGCTACTTGGGAGGCTGAAGTGGGAGGATCAGTTGAGTCTGGAAGTTGAGCTGCAGTGAGCTATGATTGTGCCACTGTTTTGCAGCCTGAGCAACAGAGAAAGACCCTGACTCAAAAAAAAAAAGTGTGTGTGTATAAATATATATATAGTTTCATGATGAACTGGTTTTTGATATTATGGTAATTAATTAACTTGGCTCTCAACAACAGCCTGATTATAGGAATCATGATAATTGTGAATTTATTAGTATTACAATTAGAGGTGGTAAAGAGAGATTGTGTTTGCATCTTAATGGTAATACTAAAGAACCAGAATCTGGCCTTTAACCTTACTAGTTCCTGAAAATTTCATAAAAAATTATTTTCATTCTTATCTTTTTTTAGAGACAGGGTCTTGCTTTGTCGCCCAGGCTGGAGTGCAGTGGTGCGATCATAGCTTACTGCAGCCTTGAATTCCTCAGGTGATCTTCCTCCCTTGGCCTCACAAAGTGCTGGGATTATAGGCAGGGGCCACCGTGCCTGGCCATCATACAGTTTGATTTTGTTTATTCAACAAGCATTTATTGAGGGTCTACTCAGTGTCAGGCATAGCATTTGGGCTGCAAAATTAAGCTAAGTTGAAATTCTTGTCTTCAAATAACTCAGTTTGGTGGCATGTGAACATGTAAATGAACAGTTATAAAAAGTTAATAAGTCCAGTTAGGCAAGTGCTGGCTGCTATGGAAGAGGAGAGGAGGCAGCTTCCAGGGAGTGGGAGCTAGAGTTGAGAAAGCCTTCAGGGGATGGAGGTGAAGGCAAAGCTCAGTCTAGAAAGATGAATATGTATATTTATATTATATAGAGAGAAGGAGAGAGAGAGAGATGCTGCTCCATTTATGATGGGTTTCTGTTCCTGATAGACCTATTGTAGTCAAAAATACATTTAATACACTTAACCTACTGAACATCATAGCTTAGCCTAGCCTACCTTAAATGTGCTCAGAACACTTAGATTAATTCGCCTGTACTTGAGCAAAATCATCTGGCAGTGCAGTAGAGAATTGGTTGTTCACTGTTTGTTTGTTTTTTTTTTTTTTTTTTTTTGAGACGGAGTCTCGTTTTGTTGCCCAGGCTGGAGTGCAGAGGTACAATCTCGGCTCACTGCCACCTCCACCTCCTGGGTTCAAGCAATTCTCGTGCCTCAGCCTCCCGAGTGTCTAGGATTACAGGCACGCACCACCACACCCGGCTAATTTTTGTATTTTTAGTAGAGACAGGTTTCGCCATGTTGGCCAGGGTGGTCTTGAACTTCGGACCTCAGGTGATCCGCCTGCCTTGGCCTCCCAAAGTGCTGGGATTACAGGCATGAGCCACTACACCTGGCCTGTTCACCCTTGTGATTGCATTACTGACTAGGAGCTGTGGCTCGCTGTGCTGCCCAGAATTTTGAGAGAATATCATAGCACTTTCTACCGAATGCGTGTTGCCTTTGCACCATCGTAAAGTTGAAAAATTACGAGTGAAACTGTCATAAATCAGACTGTACTACCAGGTTAAGAGGGGAGAAAGGCATTATGGAACAAGAGAGCAATGGAGTGTAAAGTGATGAAGGCCTCGGTATTTTCTGGGAACCACAAGAAGTTAGATAAGGTCTTTAGACATAATGGTGGAGTGGCAGGAGATGAGACTGGAGAGGGAGGTGGGGTGCTGTCAGAGGGGAATGATTTGATGTAAAGGACTTCTGGATTTGATCCTGTAGATCACTGTGTGGTTCAAGGACTGTTGGCATCAGAATCACTTCGGGAGGGTCTTTAGCAAATTCCTGGCTCTCTTTGGGAGATACAGATTGGATAGATTGCGGTTATTTCCATCTTTAACAAATACCTCAGGCCAGGTGCAGTGCCTTAGGCCTTAATTCCAGCACTTTGGGAGGCCAAAGCAAGTGGATTGCTTGAGCCCAGTAGTTTGAGACCAGCTGGGACAATATGGTGAAACCCAGTTTCACCAAAAATACAAAAATTAGCCGGGTGTTATGGCGCATACCTGTGTCCCAGCTACTCTGGAGGCTGAGGTGGGAGGATTGCTGAAGCCTGGGAAGTCAAGGCTGCAGTGAGCTGAGATCACGCCACTGCACTCTGGTCTAGGTGACAGAGTGAGACCCTGTCTCAGAGAAGAAAAAAAAGCCAAATATCTTAAGTGGTTCTTAGGCACATTATAGTGCTATAGGTTTTGGGGAGCCACTGTTTAAAATTGAAATCTAGACAGGATCACATTTCAATTTTAGGAAGCTCACTCTGGCAGCGTGTAGAAGATGGAGAGAGATAGAGGTGCTCTGGAGGCCTTTTAGGATGCTTCTGCATAAAACTAAGTTAAGAAATGTCAAAGGCCTGAACTAAGGGGTGGGGATAAAAAGGAAGGAGTGGGGATTCTAAAGATAGACGTCAAAACAGGTTGACCTGCACACTGAATTTAGCCAACAGTTATGTTTAATTTGGCCCACACTTGCTTTCTTTCAAAAATTAGTATCTCTAGCCGGGTGCGGTGGCTCACGCCTGTAATCTCAGTTACTTTGGGAGGCCGAGGCAGGTGGATCACGAGGTCAGGAGTTCGAGACCACCCTGGCCAAGATGGTGAAACCCTGTCTCTACTAAAAATACAAAAATTAGCTGGGCATGGTGGTGTGTGCCTGTAATCCCAACTACTTGGGAGGCTGAGGCAGGAGAATCGCTTGAATCTGGGAGGTGGAGGTTGCAGTGAGCCAAGATCGTGCCACTGCACTCCAGCATGGGAGACAGAGCGAGACTTCATCTCAATAATAATAAAAAAAATTAGTGTCTTTCTCATAAAAGTCCAGATTTCTGGATTCTCTTGAAAAAAAAAAAAAAAACCAGAATATTGGACTATACTGGCCCTGAACTTCCTCTTGACAAGAATCAGCTGATGCTGAATAGTGCTTGCCCTCTTTTTATTTGCTCTCTAATTTGCCACTTCTCTACCAATGCATATGCTTTATGCAGGAATGCTTTGTTCAGTTTACCTGCTAGATCCCTGTGATCCTTGATTTGAAGATACAAGATTGGCAGAACATGGTGACTGACTAGCTGGAGGTGGTGTAGAGGGCCACATAAAAGACGGGGAGGAGTCTAGGATGACTCAGGTTCTGGTAGGATGACTGGGTGGATAGAAGTGGTAGTCACTGAGGCAGGGTTTTATGAAACAGCATACTGTTTTATATATATAATTTTTTAAAAAAATACAATAGTGTTTTGCACAGGTCACTTCTCTTGGATGGGACCACATGAAAGTGTGGCTTATGGACTTGGAATTAAAACAAAGAAAACTTGTAAAGAAATCTCATTTGTGAATGAGTTGTCCTCTATTAGAGGACATTTCTGTAAAAATTTCAAAGATACGAACACTTTTCCTTTTAGAGCCTCAATAGAACATGAGAAATTCTTGATATTTTGATTTTCATTTATTATGACTACAAGCTGACTACAATACAATATGTTAATTATGGCATTGCCTGGATCCATTACAGTTAATTGAAGCATAACTTATCTTTAATTGTACCTTTGTCACCTTGACTAGATTTGGGGAACTGCCCTCTGTTCCCTGTAAGTACATTAATAAGGCTTGAAATGTATTCTAGTTGTCTTAGATAGTGATTTATATATGTCTGGCAGAAAGAATTATTTCTGCAGTTGGCAGAGACAAGAAGGATGGGTGGAAAACTGCAGAAGGGGAGAGATTTAGTGGTAAGAAGATGGCTACTACATTTTTAGGTGCTATTTGGAGGAAACATCTTGAATTGGATCTTTTACTGCCTTCTGAAATAACAGTTCACTGATGATGGCTTGTTTCTCTAACTGCTGTAGTGCTTAAATATTAAGAAATTCTTTGCTAAATAAGAGTTTGCCTACTGCATACGGGAAACTCGGGGAAAGGTGTGCCATTCAAAGACACCCGTGGGAACCAAGGCACAGAGACTGGAAAGACCCTGGTATGTTAGAAGCACAAGGAAGTGGCGGGTGTGTAAGTGACCAGGCCGAGCCTTGGGAGCTCAGTGAGGGAAAGCATTATCATCATAAATACTGAATAACAATAATAATGATAGCAAACATTTATATATTGTATACTCTGTGCCAGGCACTGCTTTAAGTGCTTTATGTGTATTATCTCATTTAATATTCACAACTGCCATCTGAGAAAGAGGTACTATTTTCCCTGTTTCACCGAGACACTGAAAATTTAAGTAATTTGCTCAGGGTCCCACAGCTCGTAAGTGGTGGAGCTGAGATTTGAACTCAGGCAATCAGTCTGGAGTCCATGTTCTTCCTGCTATTCTGCCTCTCAAAACTAAGAGTGAAATATAAACTCTGCCTTGTAGGTACTGGCTGTTTGTTTTTGTTTTTTTGTTTTGTTTTTGTTTTTTCGAGACTCTCGCTCTGTCGCCCAGGCTGGAGTGCAGTGGTGCGATCTCGGCTCACTGCAAGCTCCGCCTCCTGGGTTCACGCTATTCTCCTTCTTCAGCCTCCCGATTAGCTGGGACTACAGGCGGCCGCCACCACGCCCGGCTAATTTTTTGTTTTTTTTTTTTAGTAGAGACGGGGTTTCACCGTGTTAGCTAGGATGGTCTTGATCTCCTGACTTCATGATTCGCCCGCCTTGGCCTTCCAAAGTGCTGGGATTACAGATGTGAGCCACCGCGCCTGGCGGTACTGGCTGTTTTTGTGTAAGATATATAAACATTAGAATAAAGACCTTCAATGGCATGCTTAATTGGATGTGTATCTAATGTACGCAGATGGGGAAAATGTAGTGGAAAAAACCTGATTTTGTTTACTCTTTCCCTGGTTTAAAATTATTAGTAGGGGCAAGCGGGCCTGAATTTACTAGTCTTGCATTTAGTTGAGCATAAAGACCATTTCATTTATGATTAGCTCTATTTGAGATAAAAGGCTTTTGATTAAATAATTAGCTTTTGGACTAATATTACGTTAAAAAGTTTCCACATACCAGCTGTGTGATACTTAGCAGGTAACTTAATCTAACCAGGTTTCCTCATCTGTGAAATGGAGTAGTACCTACCCCATAGGATAATTCTGAAAACTGAATGAGTTAAAATTTATAAAGTGCCTGGCACATAGTGCTGTATAAGTGCTGAGTAAATAAATAAAACTTGACATTTGTGATTCCCTGCACAAATGAACATTGGCTAGCATATAATATATCCACACTTATACACATCCCTGGTGGTTATACCAAGAGAAACTATTTTCAGATAGGAAGTGAAGGGTGGCAACGTAATGGACAGCTGGAAAGAGTAATAAGGAGTCTGTCTAGCTTGGGTCCCCCAGATAGTCTTTGGCTTCAGATTTCTTCTGAAAAGAATAATTATATGTAATAGCACAGAGACAATAAATAATTTTTCTCAAATACTGCACCCTATTTAAGAGTCAGCAGTGGCTTCCATGTGTTTGATATCCAAATTCCTCAGCAAAGATTTCAAGTTCATTCACTAAATGACGCCTCCTTTTGCCATATCTTCTCATCTTGTTAGAGCTTACTTAAAGTCTAGCAAGCAAACCTGTTTGTCATCATGACTTGCTTGTATTTGTCTCATTGCTCTAATTCTCCAGTCTCCTATTGCCACCCTCCTCTCTCCGACTTGTTAGATGTAAACGACGGTATTCACTGAAATTAGATCTCCTTGCTCAATGAGTCATGTTCTCTGTGGGCGTAGTTCTTCAAGTCTCTCTCTCTCTCTCCCTTTTTTTTTTTTTGAGAGAGTGTCTCGCTCTGTTGCTTAGGCTGGAGTGCAGTGGCACTATCACGGCTCACTGTAGCCTCAACCTCCCCAGGCTCAGGTGATCCTCCCACTTCAACCTCTCAAGTAGCTGGACTACAGTCATACGCCACCACACCTGGCTCATTTTTGTATTATTTTGTAGAAATGGGGTTTCTCTGTGTTTCCCAGGCTGGTCTTGAAGCTCTGGGTTCAAGCTATCTGCCTATCTCAGCCTCCCAAAGTGCTGGCATTATTGGCGTGAGCCACCTTGCCTGGGTGAGCCAGCATTCCTGGCCTCAAGTCTTGTATTGATTAAAAGTACATTAAAAAACTTTTTATTTCTGTCCTAGGGTTAATTATCCTTCCCCCTACTTTTTTTGTATTTTAAGTTTAGCGATGTTTTGTTTTAATTAGAAATAAGATCTCCCTCTGTTGCCCAGGCTGAAGTACAGTGACATGTCATAGCTCATTGCAGCCTCAAACTCCTGGGTTCAGGTGATCCTCCCACTTCAGCCTCCTGAGTAGCTGGGACTACAGGCGTGTACTACCATGCCTGGTTAATAGATAGTAGAGCATTACTTGGGGCAGTGGACTCAGTGTGATTACTAAGTTGTCCAGAGCTCAGTATTTAGTGCAAAGATGTGTCAGTTCAGTTTTCTTATTGGTACATAGAAGGGATTTAAATACATGTATAAAGGACATACTTTTAGGTCCAAGAAGGTGTTTTCATAGTTTTCCTTATGTTAGAGCCAATTTCCTTCTTAAATTAAGGGGGACTCATTTCTAATCTTCTCAAAAATGGACACTTCACAGCATATTTAGAAAGTATTTTACAAGTCATTGTACTGCTCCTAGACTAAACCCATAATTGTCACTTGCCTGATAAACTATAATAGTTTCTAACTGGTCTCTAGTTTGTACTTTACCCCCTTCAAGTCCATTTTCTACATCATGTTCAGAATGGTCCTCTTAAGGACCATTTTTTGTTCTTAGAATAAAATCCAACTCCCTGTGGTCCTGCCAGGTGATGTCTGCCCACCTTTCCAGTCTCATTTTATATCACCCTTCTTTATGATGCTGGAGCTCCATTGGCCTTCCTTCAGCATTTCTGATACTTCTGTTGGTGGTCTTTGTACATGTTATTGTTCTCCTGCCTTGAAGGTGTTTCTTGGCATGTATTACATCCCTACCTCCACACACACACACACGTGAGTCATACAGTCTTTCGTTTTCTCTCTCTTTTCCTTTTTAGGTAAAAATTACATATAAATACTGTAATACATTAAGATCTTAAGTGTATAATTTACTGCTTTATTACATGTGTATATACCCATGTAACCACCACCCAGCTCAAGATACAGAATTATTTCTAGTGCCTCAGAAGGTCCCCATCAGTCCCTCTCACCAAACTACTGTTAGGACTTCTTTTGCCATAAATCAATTCTGTTTTTGAACTTCATATAAGTGGAATCTATGAAAGCACATTGTCTTTAGCCTTCCACTCACTACTGTGTCTCATACATTCTTTACCTGACTGCCTTCTCATCTAGGACTCAGCTTAAATGTCGCCTTCTAGAAGCTGCCTCTGACCACTCTGACTAGGCACACTTCCTGCTCCACTTGTTCTCTTCTTTTTTGGGAGCTGGTTACCATCTTTACTAGCCTCCTAAGGCTGCCATAAAAATTACCACACACTGAGTGGCTTTAAACAACAGAATTTTAATTCTCTCATAGTTACGGAGGCTAGAAGTGTAGAAAAACAAGGTATTGGCAGAGCCACACACCCTCCAAAAGCTCTAGGCGAGAATCCTTCCTTGCCTCTATTTCAGCTTCCAGTAGCTCCTGGCCTGCCTGGGCCTGTGGCAGCGTAACTCCAAGCTTGCCCTCCCTCTTCATATGGCCTTCTTCCCTGTGTTTCTGTCCCCTTGTCCTCTTCTTACATAATACTCGGATAATTCCCTTTGTAGTATTTATCACAAATTGTGTACATGTGGTTATTTTTTAAGGGGTGTGGGGAGCAGTGTCTTGCTTTGTTGCTGATATGCTTTGGCTGTGCCCCCACCCAAATCTCACCTTGAATTGTAGCTCCCATAATTCCCACGAATTGTGGGAGGGACCCATTCGGAGAAATTGAACCATGGGGGCGGTTTCCTCCATACTGTTTTTGTGGTAGTAAATAAGTCTCATGAGATCTGATGGTTTTATAAGAGGAAACCCCTTTTGCTTGGCTCTCATTCTCTTTGCCTGTCGCCAAGTAAGACATGCCTTTCGCCTTCCACTATGATTGTGAGGCCTCCTCAGCCACATGGAACTGTGAGTCCATTAAACCTGTTTTTCTTTATAAATTACCCAGTCTCAGTGGGGCGCAGTGGCTCACGCCTGCAATCCCAGCACTTTGAGAGCCCAAGACGGGAGGATCTCTTGAGGTCAGGAGTTCAAGACAAGCCTGGCCAACATGGTGAAACCCCATCTCTACTAAAAATACAAAATTTAGCCAGGCTATGGGGTGCACATCTGTGAGGCTGAGGCAGGAGAATCGCTTGAACCTGGGAGGCGGAGGTTGCAGTGAGCCGAGATCGCTGCCACTGTACTCCAGCCTGGTGACAGAGTGAGACTCCGTCTCAAAAGAAGACAAAAACAAAACAAAAAAAACCTTTTATAGCCCAGGCTGGTCTCAAACTCCTGGGCTCAAGTGATTCCCCCACCCCACCTCAGCCTCCCAAGGCACTGGGATTACAAGCATGAGCCACAATGCCCGGTCCATAATAGCAGTCTTGAGGGAAATATTTAGAAGGTCTACGTTGATTGGCATTTTTACAGAGACTTAAGTGAAAGCATTATTAGCATGACCAGATTTATATGCTGAGAGTTTTGGTAGGAATAGCTATTTCCTTGGATAACCAAGCCAGGATCAGAAGAAATCTGGAGAGGGCAGAAATGAGTTGACTTTAGCAAGATGAAATGTTAAAACTTTAGATGCAGTATCACACCTGCATTCCAGTAGTCAAGCTCATATTAGCATAGAGAAAGATGGCTTTGCAGTCCACGTGAGAAAGGCCTGAGGGGGTTCAGGTGACTGCAGTATGATTTAGTTGTCCCGGGAATTAATAATATCTTGAGCAGCATAAGTTATCAAGGAAGAGGGGCTTATAGTCATGTTCTGCTTCCTATTCATATACCACTTGAAATGCTCCTTTTGCCCTAGACCACATGTTTGTGTTGATTTAACAACAAATTGGATTGTCTGAAGCAGGGGTTGTCAAACTGAAGCCCCCAGTCTGCCTGTTTTAGTGAATACAGTTTTATTAGAACACCGCCAGCCCCATTTGCTTACATATTTTCTGTGACTGCTTTCCTGTTCCAAGTGTTATGTATTTGTTGCAAAGACCATATGGCCTGCAAAGCCTCAAATATTTACTATATAGACCTTTACAGAAAAAGCTCTCCAACCCCTGGTGTATTAAACTAGACCTAGATAACGAAGGAGACTGAAACCATGGCAAAAAGGAGTATAGGAACAGATGATGAAAAGATTTAGGTGTGACAGGGAGCGCTGTCTTCAAATATTTGAAAGACTGTAGTTTAGAAGAAAAATTAGGCCTGGTGTAGTGGTACTTGCCTGTAATCCTAGAACTTTGGGAGGCTGAGATGGGCAGATCACCTGAGGTCAGGGGTTCAAGACCAGCCTGACCAACATGGTGAAACCGCGACTCTACTAAAAATACAAAAATTAGCCAGGTGTGGTGGCGGGTGCCTGTAATCCCAACTACTCAAGAGGCTGAGGCAGGAGAATCGTTTGAACCCGGGAGGCAGAGGTTGCAGTGAGCTGAGATCACACCACTGCACTCCAGCCTGGGTGACAGAGTGAGACTCTGTCTCAAAAAAAAGAAAAATTAGACTGCTTAACTTGTAGAGCAAAATGAAAACACAGGATAGATGATATAGGGCAGGGGAGGATTTTGTTAGTGTATAGAAAAATTGTTTTAACTTTGAATTGGGTTGCTTCTGGAAGTAATGAGTTGGTGAGTTTTTTTGTTTGTTTTGGTTTTTTGGTGATCTGAGGCCTGTAAAATGAGGCCCGATGACTGTTTTACGTCTTCTCCTAAATGAGGGTCAGATATACAATGGTGTATAAGGTTAGGCATCTCTGAGCTCTGAGGTTTTTCATGGAACGAGTCTATCAAACCCAGCCTGTGGTCCTCAAGCAGTTTTGAGGGCTCTAGCTTACCCTAGCCTGATAGATTGTAGAGCCAAGCAAGTCATGCCAGGTCTTAACTGGATTATCTACCTGGTTCAGGTTTCCTGGTGTTTGCCAAAATGTCACTCCAGTGGAAAATAATACCTTTAACAAACATTAACAAACCCAAATCTAGTCTAGCACCTTTAAAAGTCTGCATTTTATCTTTTTCATGAACATGGAAGGTTCAAGTCATTCTTCTTCTTGTGGGTTCTTAAGACAGTTTAGAGTTTGTTTATTGTGAGTGGTATGTGACCTTGAAAAATACTCAGGTGTGTAAGGCGAGAGCACAGAGTTTTGCTGCCTTCTATAATCTATTAATCTTTCTTCCTGTTTGAACTCATCAGCTGTTATTGAATGTCAAATAATTGAAATCCAATTAGGTAAACTGGCCTCCTTGTGTCAAACTTCTGATCTCCTGAAGTCGAAATTTCATGTTAAAGCTTCAGAATTTTAAAAGCGGAGCTTTTCAAGTCAAAATACCATTCCTTAAAGACGTTCTTTTAGATTAAAGTTAAATTATGGAAAGCTGCTGAATGAAAATGAGCAAACAGTTGAATTAAGAACATTGCACAGTTACTTTGTGCACTATATTAGGTATTCATGTGATATCTTAAACGGTTTTCTTCTGATCTGAACTTACAACTTCTGTGCTTTAAGATGGATGGTGGACTTGAAAGGAGTGATTTTTCATTTTATTTGCCCCGCTGGCTATATTTCGTGGTTCTGGGTGCAGACTTTTGTGAAGTAAAGGAGTGTAGGGCCCTCCTATCTTGTCATTGGCAGCCTGTAGGGGTTCATATTGGTTCCTGGTCCTCAGGTCTGAAGACTTAAATTCAGGCAGTCCTGTCAGTTCAGAACTCTTTCATTCTGCACAGGCTCCAATGGAGTGATATCTATTATGGAAAGGCTTTGTAAACTGTAGACCATCCTGGCCGGCACGGTGGCTTACGCCTGTAATCCCAGCACTTTGGGAGGCCAAGGTGGGTGGGTCACGAGGTCAGGAGATCGAGACCATCCTGGCTAACACGGTGAAACTCCGTCTCTACTAAAAATACAAAAAATTAGCTGGGCGTGGTGGTGGGCGCCTATAGTCCTAGCTACTCAGGAGGCTGAAGCAGGAGAATGGCATGAACCTGGGAGGCGGAGCTTGCAGTGAGCCAAGATCGCGCCACTGCACTCCAGCCTGGGAGACAGAGTGAGACTCCGTCTCAAAAAGTATATGGGAGGATGTGTGTAGGTTATAGACAAATACTGTGCCATTTTATATAAGGGAGTTGAACATCCACAGAGAGTCCTGGGGCCAATTCCCCAAAGATACCGAGGGGCGACTGTATATACTATTTTTTCCTATACATACACACCTGTGATAAAGTTTAGGCACAGTGAGTGATTAACAACAACAACTAAGAATAAAACAACTATAACAATGTACTGTTATTACATTTATGTGAATTTGGTCTCTCTCTCTCAAAACGTCTGTGTGTACTGTACTTACCTATTTTCCGACCCTGGTTGGCTATGGTTAAAATGAAACCTTGGTTAAGTAGGTGACTGCTGTACTAATATAAGTGGGCTCCTGCTGAGAGGCTGGATGCAGCTTTAGAGTTTCTACCTCTGGCCATTAGAAGCAAACCACATTGTCCATCATCATTTCTTTTTTTTTTTTTTGAGATGGAGTCTCACTCTGTAGTCTAGGCTGGAGCGCAGTGGCACAATCTTGGCTCACTGCAGCCTGTGCCCCCTTGGTTCAAACGATTCTCCTGCCTCAGCCTCCCAAGTACCTGGGATTACAGGCGTATGCCACCACACCCGACTAATTTGTTTTTGTATTTTTAGTAGACACGGAGTTTCACCGTGTCAGCCAGGCTGGTCTCGAACTCATGACCTCAAATGATCCGCCCGCCTCGGCCTCCCAAAGTGCTGGAATTATAGGCGTGAGCCACGCACCTAGCCAGCCCATCATCATTTCTTACTACTGTCTCAGATCTTTTGTCCAATTTATTTCATTTTAGTTAGGATGGGTTGGAGAAATGGAAGAACCTCAGACATGGAGTCTGTTGAATAAACATTTGGCTTATTGGTTGACTCTTTGCTAAAAGAGTTGACTCTTTTAGCAGAGTCTTGCTCTGTCGCCCAGGCTGGAGTAAGCTCCACCTCCCGGGTTCACGCCATTCTCCTACCTCAGCCTCCCGAGTAGCTAGGAGTACAGGCACCTGCCACCGTGCCCGGCTAATTTTTTGTATTTTTAGTAGAGACGGGGTTTCACCGTGTTAGCCAGGATGGTCTCGATCTCCTGACCTCGTGATCCATCACACTTTTAAGTCTTGAAACACTGATGTATTTCTTCCATATTCATAAAACTTATTCAGAAAGAAATTTTGATCTTTAATTATGATTTTTAAAAATCAGATACTCAAATGATTACTACTTATTTTGTATACATACTGAACACACATAGAAAATATAAGCAAAGGTGGCCAGGTCTGGTGGCTCACGCCTGTAATCCCAGCACTTTGGGAGGCCGAGGCAGGTGGGTCACCTGAGATCAGGAGTTCAAGACCAGCCTGGCCAACATGGTGAAACCCCGTCTCTACTAAAAATACAAAAACTAGCCAGGTGGTGCACACCTCTAATCCCAGCTACTCGGGAGGCTGAGGCAGGAGAATTGGTTGAACTCAGGAGGCGGAGGTTGCAGTGAGCTGAGATCGCGCCACTGCATTCCCGCCTGGGTGACAGAGCGACTCTGTCTCAAAAAAAAGAAAAAAAAAAGAAAAACTTTTTCAAGCGTGTGACTAGTATAATATGTAAATTTCAGATGGATGAATTAGGTAATCACCCAGGTAATACTGTGAACCCTCAAGGAGGGTTTGAACTAGGCTAATATTACCTAGTTCAAGACTTGTCTGTTACCAGTTTTGTATCTCTTCTTCCCCATACCTAGCAGTGTGTGTGTGTGTGGAGTGAATAAGTTATCAACATGACCCTTAAAGTTTTACATGTTTATGTATGTCTTTTAAAATTTCCTTTACATTCTTATTAAATAGCTCAGTAACTGGGGAATAAGCTCCCTTACCGTATGACCCTAACCTATTTTGTCTTCCTGTGCGTGTTTATGCAATTCAGTATCCTGCTATACAGGGATCTGTCATTCCTTTGGTACTTAAAACATATGTAATTATAATAGCTAATACTTACGTAGTACTTACTGTAGGTCAGTTCTGAGCACTTCACATATCTAATCCTTATGACAATCCCTTGAGGTAAGGACTATCATCTTCATTTTACAGGTGAAGAAACTAAGGCAGAGAGATTAAGTAACTTGCCCAAGGTCTCACAGGTAGTAAGTGTATCGTAATAGTATCAAAAGGAAACACAGATTCCGCTAAGTTGAGAGGGATGAAGGAGGTTGAGAAGGTGTGTGGTTAGTGTGTGAATGCATGCAGTGTGCATTTTGCTGATCCTGCATAATAAGTGAGGACATGTAAGCAATAAAAATTTCTCTACTGAAACACCATAATGTAAAAGCTGATTGAGAGTGAAGGATGAGTCAGTGATTATCTTGGCGATTTGGACTCTGGTTGTATGTGCCAATGAAACAACCACTGTATGATTAACTCTGCGATTTGGGTTGATCTTTAGACTTCCCCTATGATAATATCTGACTGCTTGATAGTCTTTGCCTCATTTATGTTGCTATTCCAGTTTTGCTACTCAGATTAGGACATCATAAAAATAGGTGTATTCTCCAGGTTATTTTTGTATTATTATTATTATTATTTTTGAGACTCAGTCTTGCTTTGTCGCCCAGGCTGGAGTGCAGTGGCACAGGCTTGGCTCACTGCAACCTTTGCCTCAGCCTCCCAAGTAGCTGGGATTACAGGCGTGTGCCACCATGGCCCAGCAAATTTTTGTATTTTTAGTAGAGACAGGGTTTCACCACGTTGGCCAGGCTGATCTTGAACTCCTGACCTCAAGTAATCTGCCTGCCTTGACCTTCCCGAAGTGCTAGGATTATAGGTGTGAGCCACCATGCCTGGCCTGTAGTATTTTTGTACTATTACTTTCTTTCTCCCCCTTTTTTTTTTTTTTTTTTTTTGGAGATGGGATCTCACTATGTTGCCCAGGCTGGTCTCAAATTCCTGGGCTCAAGTGATCCTCAGGCCTCAGCCTTTTGAGTAGCTGGGTTATATGCATGCGCCACTGCGCCTGGCTTTACTATTATTTTCACCTAAGAAATGTTATTCTGTCTACTAGTAGGCAAGGATTTACTCTGAATATTTTCTTTCATTTCTTAACAGTACAGTGCTGTGGATACCAATCCACTTTCTCTGTATGTCATGCATCCATTCTGGAACACTATAGTAAAGGTAAGATAATTAATATGTATGTACTTTTTGTTTTAGTAAGTTTTAAAGATTTTAACCTATTTTATGGAGTATTATAAATGCAACTCTCAGTTTCATAAGATATTTAGAGAAACCACCCTTCCCCAATCACAATACCCCAAATCACATACCTTTTGATTTATCTTACTGTTGAAGTTTATACCCTGGGATTTGTCACTTTTGTAAAATCCCTTTTAAAATTTTTCTAAAATAGACTTAATGTTATGATTATAGAAGTTTGCTGATTACAGAGTTAGTTAAAAAATAGAGGATGGAAGAAAGAATGCTGATGGAGATTATCGTTTACGTGTTAATGTCTATAACTTCTCCATATGATCTTTCAAATGTATAGCTTTTATTATGACTTCAGTTTGCATGTTGTAGTATACATTGGACAGAGATTCCTCTACTTTAATTATTTTATAATTATTTTGCAAAAATAGGTATTTCCTACTTGGCTGGCGCCCAATCTGATAACTTTTTCTGGCTTTCTGCTGGTCGTATTCAATTTTCTGCTAATGGCATACTTTGATCCTGACTTTTATGCCTCAGGTAAGAATATTACTTTATTATAAAATTTAACTGAGTAGAAAAAAATGAAATGTGGATGCTTATTTTCTGGTTTTGTTAAAATGTTCATATTTCTAAAAAATTTTGAATATTATAATGGCATCACCTTGCCTATTGAATTAGATATGTTGTCTAAAAAGCAATGAGGTTTTGGCAGATAAAGAATAATTGGGTTTACATGAAGATGGAAAATTAAGACTCAAAACTTTGCCTAAAAATGAATACAAACAGGGCTCAGTTTACCTGTCAGCTCTAGGAATATCCCTTCTCCTTTTCTAGTCATGAAAGAAAAATCCCCTTTCTTCTGAAGGACATGTGATTGTCTTTCCTTCTTCCCAGCATCCCTACTTGACTTGAATGACTCCTAGTTTCCTCTGAAAATGATACTTAGACCTTAAGTATTTATTGCTAAGTCTGGACCCTTATTGAGGAAGAGAGGAAGGAGGCACTTTTGGAGCCAGTGGTCAGCCTGCTCCTGCCCTCTGCTCCAACATCTTCTCTCTCACTCATTTTATCTTCACTCTGTTTCACACCCAGCTTCTGCCCCAGGCCAAAGAATTGGGATGACGAGGGAATAGTTGGAGACAAGTTTTGTTTTTATTGTTCAGTCAGTTGATTGCATTGAGAGGAATAGAAAGTTGGAGATAGATGGGCATTTTTTGCATTCTAAGAGAATTTTCCAACAGTAATACTTAGAAATGATGTAGTCAGGAGTGTTAGTGTTATAATTCATCTGTGTATGAGTTCAGCAGACTTTTCTGGACTGACCTGGAGAAACTGAGTACCACTGACAACATTGTTTTAGTAGAAAAATTTGGAGTTTCAAACACTTAAGACTTTTTTTTTTTTTTTTTTTTTTTTGAGACGGAGTGTCACTCTGTCGCCCAGGCTGGAGTACAATGATGCCATCTTGGCTCACTGAAACCTCTGCCTCCCAGGTTCAAGCGATTCTCCTGCCTCAGCGTCCTGAGTAGCTGGGACTACAGGCGTGTACTTCCATGCCCAGCTAATTTTTGTATTTGTAGTAGAGCAGGGTTTCACCATGTTGGCCAGGCTGGTCTCAAACTCCTGACCTCAAATGATCCACCCGCCTTGGCCTCCCAAAGTGCTGGGATTACAGGTGTGAGCCACTGCACCTGGCCAAGACTTTTGATACTATAGAAATTCCAAATATTGAAAGTATACATATGCTGAACTTTACTGAAACTTTTAGCCATAGCTTCTGTACATGTAATAAAATGGTAATTGAAGTTGGAAATGCCAACTCTGAAGCATGAGAAGATCATAAAGTACACATGAATAAAGAGTAAGATTAAATTTTGTTAAGCATTGTTTGGGTATTGTGGGTTTTTAAAAATTTATTTATTTATTTATTTATTTTTGTATTTTAATCCTCAGGACACCCTAAAGAATGTATCTTTGTAACTAGAAATACTATTTTCTTTGACAACTCTAAATAAGATTATTTACTTAGCTATTAACAGCATCAAACATATGTAAATGTTATATATATCTCCCCAAATCATATAAGTTCAAGGACCAGATAAACCATCTGTTCCCAAAATATTTGGAAAATACAAGATGGGAGAGATTAAATGATACATTCAAGGTTACACTGCTGGTTGATTACAAAGCCAGGACTAGACCCTAGACTTTCTGATTCTCAGTTGTTTTGTCTTAGGGGAAAAAGTGAGCTCTAGATATTTCAGAATGATTCTGATGCCCAAATCATTCAGTTGAGGTGATCTATCTATACCCAAATCAAAAGGTCTTTTGTTTAGCTAATTAATAGTATAGGAAAGGATAAGGTGAAGGCTCAATACAAGTTTGTAATACAGTCATAAACAAGAATTAGATTAAATGCAATTAATTTCTAAATTCCAAAAATATATTATTTTTCATTGTAGGCGCATGAAAATTATTTATTTTCAAGTAAAGGTGAACACTCAGTCTTGAGTTACGATAAAAGCTCAAAATAACTGCTTACTGTTTGTGACAGGCTGGGATGTTGCTTTTTTGGTTTTATCAGTTTCCTGGTATTATTTACGTAATTCTGGATTCAAAATATATTGTAAAGTACTTTAACTTCTAATGAACAAATAGCGACACTTCTCACTGTCAGTATATGCTATGGTAAGAACTACTGTACTTAAACTGTATTAAAATCTTAGTTGCTTTCCTTTTCAGCACCAGGTCACAAGCACGTGCCTGACTGGGTTTGGATTGTAGTGGGCATCCTCAACTTCGTAGCCTACACTCTAGGTAAGGAATTGGTAAATACTTACTATAGTCAGTGACTGGTGAATCAGCAAGGATAGCCACGTATTAAAATAACATTTTCTCCTGTGCTTAATTCATTTTAACTAGAGTTTATTAGTATCCTGTTCAAATTGATAAATATGTTTTTGAGTTTCTTTACAAAAAATTTTGTCATTCATTGCCAGGGATTCACAGAATAAGATAAGAGTTGGTAAACTACTACTTGTGGGCCAAATTTGGTGTGTAGCCTATTTTTGTTAGTAGAGTTTTACTGGCACACATCTATGCTTATTCCTTTATATATTGTCTATGGCTGTTTTCCTGCTATAAAGACACAGTTGAATAGTTGCAACAAAGACTGTATGGCCTGCAAAGCCTAAAATATTTATCATGCGGCCTTTAAAAAATATTTACCAACCTCTGGAATAAGACATCATTTTTCTTAAGTTTGGGAAGCAATACTGTCATATGTAATAATTAAAAAATAGTATGATAGAACACAGTGGGAAAACAAATAAGGAAGTGATCAATTCTTTTTTGGTACAGGGAGCGGTCAGGGAGTGGGCAGGGAGGCCTACTGTGCTAGACCATGCTGTCTGTCCTGCCAAGAATGCTTTTCATTAGGATTATCCACATGGCTTGTCCTGCATTCTTCTCTCCTTCCCTGCTTTATTTTTCTCCATAGCACTTAAAACCATGTAACATGTTATCTATTTACTTGCCTGCTTGTTTGTTATCTCTCTTTTCTAACTAAAACGTTAAGTTTTGTGAAAGTGAGTACTGCGTTGTTCACTACTGTATCCCCAGTATCGTAGACACTCGGTACATAGTTTTTAAATACATGTAAAATAGCAGACCCTGACTTCAAGTTGCTTAGATCTCTTCAGATAAAAGTGACTTGTTCTCATAAAACCAGCATAACCTGCTACATGATTAAATGCTGATATGGTAGATGTCATGCTGACCAGAGCTGCAAGAGTTTGGAGAAGGAAGAAATCAGTGACGTCTAGAAGAATTAAGGGAAAGCTTAGTTAAAAGCTACATATTTAGGCAGAGGTTTTTGCACATTTGTTATTAAAGATGAGCAGGTCTTTAAGTGCTGCTGAAGGATTTGGTTGCCAAGGACTGCTGAGAGGAATAGGGAAAAGTTGAGAGTGGCTGTGAGCTCTGACTTTTGACAACACGCCGTAAGATCCTTTTGATGTACCATCTACTTGTTCTAGGCCCACAGTTTTCTGGCAAAAACCCTGGTCTGACATGAACTATTTGTTGCAAACCAGTCTTGAACGAACATGAAGCAGTTTATAATCTTTATTCTACCTAGTGTGACTATTCATGACATTTTGCTGCAGAAATACTAAGATGTTTGATCACAGGATGCTGCTCTATGTCCTACTGGGGAGTCTCTGATAATATATGATATATGCCCTGAATTACCTTTTTAAGAAAAAAAAATTCTAAAGCATATCTGGACCTCAGACTTGTGGAGATGGAATGGGTGTAGTGAGAAAATGTATAAAACCTAATTAATACATAGTTATGAATTTAGTATTGTAATAACTGTATAGGAGTTACATTGAAAATGGGAAATTGTTAAGCCAGTAAATAATGAGAAAAGACTTTCTGGGAATATTTTAGCTACTTCAGGGCAAAAACTTTCCCAACCCTGTATAACAGAAATCTGTAGTATTTGGATAGGGAGTTTGGGATTCATCTTTTCATATAGTCTTCAACAATATATTATGCCACAGACTGATCTAGGCACTGGGGAATGTACTTTGGTGAGCAAGATTAACCGTAATTATAGGAGTTAATTCCTTAATCTGAATTTTTTCAGTTAGCCTAATTCTAATGCACTAGTTAACAAAACTGTTTCTTTTGGGGGAAAAATTGTACAGTTCAGTGAGACAGGCTGTCTCTAACAGGCTCTTCTGTTTCTGCCTGTAAAATGAAGGTATTCTACTGTGCTTTATCCTAAACTCTGGCTTTCTCCTCATTCCCTTGGTAATGGTGATTCTCACTCTACAGTCTTAGTTAAGATTCTCATGTTTATATCTAGCCCTGATCTGTGTTCTGAGTTCCTAATAAGTACCCTTGGATTGAGTTCCTTGACATTACCATGTGGATATCTCACTAACATTTCAATTTCAGTATCTAAAATTGTACTCTGCATCTTGTCTGTCACTCTTGCTGCTTATTCTGACTTCTTTTTTTCTATTAACACTACCACTATCTTCGTTACCCAGAATAGAAACTGGAGATTCTCTTCTTGTCCTTAGGCCTTATCCCTCATCTTTTGCGGCATTTTATCATTTTTATTTCCTCCATCTCACCTACCACCAGTTTCTCATTCCTACTGCATTTCATCTCAGGCCTACTAATTAGTGTCCCTCTCTCCAGCCTGTCATTCATACCGTCAGGTGCCTCTTCCTGAAACATTGCTTTCATTCTTGTGATTTCTCTATTCAGATACCTTTAGTAACTCCCCATATTCCCTACAACTTTTAAACTGGCTCAAACCTCCTTTTTGACCTTTTTATATACTTCACTCTTAACATGCTAGTCTCTAGTCAAACTAAGGTTCTTGGCATTTTCTGAACATGCATTGTGCTTTTCCACCCTGGTGTGTTTTGCTGATAGCATTCCCTCCTCTTTTTTTTATTGATCATTCTTGGGTGTTTCTCACAGAGGGGGATTTGGCAGGGTCATAGAACAATAGTGGAGGGAAGGTCAGCAGATAAACAAGTGAACAAAGGTCTCTGGTTTTCCTAGGCAGAGGACCCTGTGGCCTTCCGCAGCGTTTGTGTCCCTGGGTACTTGAGATTAGGGAGTGGTGATGACTCTTAATGAGCATGCTGCCTTCAAGCATCTGTTTAACAAAGCACATCTTGCACCGCCCTTAATCCATTTAACTCTGAGTGGACACAGCACATGTTTCAGAGAGCACAGGGTTGGGGGTAAGGTCACAGATCAACAGGATCCCAAGGCAGAAGAATTTTTCTAAGTACAGAACAAAATGAAAAGTCTCCCATGTCTACCTCTTTCTACACAGACACGGCAACCATCCGATTTCTCAATCTTTTCCCCACCTTTCCCCCCTTTCTATTCCACAAAGCCGCCATTGTCATCCTGGCCCGTTCTCAATGAGCTGTTGGGCACACCTCCCAGACGGGGTGGTGGCCGGGCAGAGGGGCTCCTCACTTCCCAGTAGGGGCGGCTGGGCAGAGGCACCCCTCACCTCCCGGACGGGGCGGCTGGCTGGGCGGGGGGCTGACCCCCCCACCTCCCTCCCAGACGGGGCGGCTGGCCGGGCAGAGGGGCTCCTCACGTCCCAGTAGGGGCCACCGGGCAGAGGCGCCCCTCACCTCCCGGACGGGGCGGCTGGCTGGGCGGGGGCTGACCCCCCCACCTCCCTCCCAGACGGGGCGGCTGGCCGGGCAGAGGGGCTCCTCACGTCCCAGTAGGGGCCACCGGGCAGAGGCGCCCCTCACCTCCCGGACGGGGCGGCTGGCCGGGCGGGGGGCTGACCCCCCCACCTCCCTCCCGGACGGGGCGGCTGGCCGGGCAGAGGGGCTCCTCACCTCCCGGACGGGGCGGCTGGCCGGGCGGGGGGCTGACACCCCCACCTCCCTCCCGGACGGGGCGGCTGGCCAGGCGGGGGGCTGACACCCCCACCTCCCTCCCGGACGGGGCGGCTGGCCGGGCGGGGGGCTGACCCCCCCACCTCCCTCCCGGATGGGGCGGCTGGCCGGGCGGGGGGCTGACCCCCCCACCTCCCTCCCGGACAGGGCGGCTGGCCAGGCAGAGGGGCTCCTCACTTCCCAGTAGGGGCGGCCGGGCAGAGGCGCCCCTCACCTCCCGGACGGGGCGGCTGGCCGGGCCAGGGGCTGACCCCCCCACCTCCCTCCCGGACGGGGCGGCTGGGCTGGCGGGGGGCTGACCCCTCCCACCTCCCTCCCGGACGGGGTGGCTGCCGGGCGGAGATGCTCCTCACTTCCCAGACGGGGTGGCTGCCAGGCGGAGAGGCTCCTCACTTCTCAGACGGGGTGGCCGGGCAGAGACGCTCCTCACCTCCCAGACGGGGTGGCGGCCGGGCAGAGGCGCTCCTCACATCCCAGACGGGGCGGCGGGGCAGAGGCGCTCCCCACATCCCAGACGATGGGCAGCCGGGCAGAGACGCTCCTCACTTCCTAGATGTGATGGCGGCCGGGAAGAGGCGCTCCTCACTTCCCAGATGGGGTGGCGGCCGGGCAGAGGCTGCAATCTTGGCACTTTGGGAGGCCAAGGCAGGCGGCTGGGAGGTGGAGGTTGTAGCGAGCCGAGATCACGCCACTGCACTCCAGCCTGGGCGCCATTGAGCACTGAGTGAACCAGACTCCGTCTGCAATCCCGGCACCTCGGGAGGCCGAGGCTGGCGGATCACTCGCGGTTAGGAGCTGGAGACCAGCCCGGCCAACACAGCGAAACCCCGTCTCCACCAAAAAAATACGAAAACCAGTCAGGCGTGGCGGCGTGCGCCTGCAATTGCAGGCACTCCGCAGGCTGAGGCAGGAGAATCAGGCAGGGAGATTGCAGTGAGCCGAGATGGCAGCAGTATAGTCCAGCTTCGGCTCGGCATGAGAGGGAGACCATGGGGAGAGGGAAACCATGGGGAGAGGGAGACCATGGGGAGAGGGAGAGGGAGAGGGAGAGGGAGCGCATTCCCTCCTCTTGAAATGACATACTTCTTTATCTCTTATCAGCTGAAATCCAACTCATTCTTTATGTCCTCTACTCAGATTTCACTTGCCTGAAAAGCCATTCTAGATTATCTTAGCCTAAAGAGAACCTTTCCCTTATCTGTACTCTTTTATGGTTTGTGATATACCATACCTTTATTATCATGTTTTGTTCCTTTCTCTTTTTAATTTTTGAGACAGAGTTTCGCTCTTGTTGCCCAGGCTGGAGTGCAATGGTGTGATCTCAGCTCACTGCAACCTCCGCCTCCTGGGTTCAAGCGATTCTCCTGCCTCAGCCTCCCGAGTAGCTGGGATTACAGGTGTGCACCATCCCCGGCTAAGTTTTTGTATTTTTAGTAGAGACAGGGTTTGGCCATGTTGGCCAGGCTGGTCTTGGACTCCTAACCTCAGGGGATCCTCCTGCCTTGGCCTCCGAAAGTGCTGGGATCATAGGCGTGAGCCACCACACCCGGCCTGTTCCTTTCTCAATTGTAAATTCTCTGAGGGCACAGTTTATTCTAAGATTCTTCCAATCCTTATAGCACCAAGAATAGTGCATTAGTTTCAGTAAATTCAATTCTTATATTTGCTGAATATCCACTGTGTGCATTTTCTGAAAGCATTTAAAATTATGGAGGCAGTAGGTCTATAAAGAAGTGATTATGATTTCAAACAGGATAGAATAGATGTTGTGACTGAAGTACTTTTGGATCCTAGAGCAAGGAGGGGTGAGATAAGTTGTGATGAATTACTATGGCATGTTCGCTGGAAGCTTGAGAATTTGTAGCTAGTGAAACAACCCAATTGTTCCATAGATTTGGAGGTATTCAGACTCCAACTAAAATGCTACTTTCTCAGATCTAAAATTGACACCATTCAGTGTAATATGACATTTTGATTTTTAGATTAAACTTTGAAGAATTATATATTTTATTTCTGAAATCTTTGTTTTTTGTTTAAAATTTTTTTTAGAGGCAGGATCTCGCTCTGTTGCCCAGACTGGAATGCAGTGGCATGATCATAGCTCACTGCAGGTTCAAACTCCTGGGCTCAAACAATCTTCCCACCTCAGCCTCCTGAGTAGCAGGAACTACAGGTGCGCACCACCATGCGTGGCTAATTTTTAAATTTTTTGTAAAGACAGAGTTTTGCTATGTTGCCCAGGCTGGTCTCAAACTTGTGGGCTCAAGTGATCCTCCTGCCTTGGCCTCCCAAAGTGTGGGGATTACAGGTGTGAGACACTGTGCCTGGCCCTAAACTCTTTGAAGTGTAGAATTAAATAATTAGATTTTTATAGTACCAGCTGATAGCTATACTTAACATTCCTGTGATAAGCTGATTTGTTTTGTTTTTTCCTCCAGTTTATTAAAGAAGACTTTCTCCATCCTGGTGCATACGTTGAACTTTTCCTGTGGTTTGTTTTTGTTGCAGATGGTGTGGACGGAAAGCAAGCTCGCAGAACCAATTCTAGCACTCCCTTAGGGGAGCTTTTTGATCATGGCCTGGATAGTTGGTCATGTGTTTACTTTGTTGTGACTGTTTATTCCATCTTTGGAAGAGGATCAACTGGTGTCAGTGTTTTTGTTCTTTATCTCCTGCTATGGGTAGTTTTGTTTTCTTTCATCCTGTCCCACTGGGAAAAGTATAACACAGGGATTCTTTTCCTGCCATGGGGATATGACATTAGCCAGGTGGTAAGTATGTGTTCTACCTTAAATTTTCAGTATTACCATGATACTTTTGGAAAGCTTTTGTCATTGCTTATTTATTGCTCTTAGGCTTTTTTGATTAGAATTGATATGTACTTAAAAATTTTTTATTTTTATTTATGGAAAATTTCAAAAATAGAATAGTATAGTGAATAGTAAAGTAGAGAGAATATTTAGGAAAAAGTAGAGAGAATAGACCCTAATGTACCCATTGCTGAGGCTGAGGCCTCCCGAGTAGCTGAGATTACAGGTGCCCACTATCACGCCTGGCTAATTTTTATATTTTTAGTAGAGACAGGGTTTCACTATGTTGGCTGGGCTGGTCTCTAACTCCTGACCTCAAGTGATCTTCCTGCCTTGGCTTCCCGAAGTGTTAGGATTACAGGCATGAGCCACCGTGCTCGACCCTTCTCAATTATTTTAAAGGAAATTTCTGATATTATATGATAAATACTTCGCTATATATCTCTAAATGATAAAAGCTTCCTTTAAAAAAACAATCACAATGCCAGTATTACACCAAAAATTTAACCATTTCTTAATGTTATTGCATGTTCATTTGAACTCTTGATTTTGGAAAGAAAGATATGCACATATAATTGAATGGTTGGCTTTTTGTGTTCATTGCCACCTTTTCAGTGTGTAGAGAGATTTCTTTTTTCTTACTTTAATGGCCTTGCTATTAACTCTCCCTGCCTTGAATCCCAGCTTTTTGTGTTGCCATTTTGCCCATTTGCACCTAAGTCTCCAGTAAAGAAATCAGAAGTTGGAGTGTTTGTTGAAGTGGTTGGGTGGGTAAATTTGGATCATCTTACAACTTAACCAATTTATGAGTTGCTGTTAAAGTGCTCCAAATGATGGCCAGTTGCTTGCATTGTCTACAAGTTAGTTATTTTATAGCATTGTTGGCTAAAAGATTGTATTTTTTTTTTTTTTTTTTTGAGACAGAATTTCGCTATTGTTGCCCAGGCTGGAGTGCAATGGTGTGATCTCGGCTCACCGCAACCTCTGCCTCCTGGGTTCAGGCGATTCTTCCGCCTCAGCCTCCCAAGTAGCTGGGATTACAGGCATGCGCCACCACGCCTGGCTAATTTTGTATTTTTAGTAGAGATGGGGTTTCTCCATGTTGGTCAGGCTGGTCTGGAACTCCTGACACCTCAGGTGATCTGCCCGTCTTGGCCTCCCAGAGTGCTGGGATTACAGGCATGAGCCCCCACGTCCAGCCAAAAGATTGTATTTTTAAAGGTAAGAAGACTTGCCACATACCAAATATAAGCATACTTCTTGCCTTTACTAAAACTGTTTGACTTGACTTAATGCTGCATAAAGCATGGTGACTCCTGATCTTTCTAGCGTTAATGCTTCTGTATGCTTTTGTCTGCATTTTCCTTCCAGACTATTTCTTTTGTCTACATAGTGACTGCAGTTGTGGGAGTTGAGGCCTGGTATGAACCTTTCCTGTTTAATTTCTTATATAGAGACCTATTCACTGCAATGATTATTGGTAAGAAGCTCCATGTTGAAGCCTGTTTTAACCATCACTTTGTTATCAAAAGAGCCGGTATTTGACTATAACAAGCAACAACACCCTTTGCCTCACAAAACCTCCAGGAAGCAGAACAACCCTACAACCTTGTAGGATTTCAGCCTAACCATTAAGAAAAATAAGGTTTCCCTGTTTTTGGGGTTTTTTTGTTCAGCATCAGCTATTTCTAATCAGAGGGAAATACCAAAATAGATCACATAAGCCTGATAAAGTGACTATTCAAATTAACCTAGGCTGTATTGGAGGGTCCACATTTGGTACAGGTTTTATATTTATCTCAAAGTTGAAAATTACTAGTTTGTATGAAATACAGGACAGATGAAATGTAGAGATTATTTTATAATGTATCCACTCAAAAAATTAAGCTTCTATTCCTCTCAGATATCCTCTTTCTTAACCCACTGATTGCTAAAGATTTTTTATGGTGGTAATCTTTCTGTTTTGATTTTAGCTGAAGGGGATATCTGTAGGATGATTGACTGAGTGGAGAGGGTATTAGTGGTATGGAACGAGTGTAAAGAGAAATCTAGATGGTTATTTAGGGGCCCCAGGAGTGGCACTGAGAACCTTTGTAGAAGTAAAAAGGTATATGTGTGGGCTATGTCCTGTATTCTGTTCTCTTATCTAAAAAATAGGCCACACACAGTGGCTCATGCCTGTAATCCCAGCACTTTGGGAGGCCAAAGTGGGAGAATCTCTTGAGCCCAGGGGTTTGAGACCAGCTTGGGCAACATAGTGAAACCCTGTCTCTAGAAAAAACTAAAGTTAATCAGGTGTGGTGCGTGCACCTGTAATGCTAGCTACCTGAGAGGCTGAGGTCAGAGGATTACCGGAGCCCAGTGAGCTATGATCGCATGTGCCACTGCACTCCAGCCTGGGTGACAGAGCGAGACCCTGTCTCAAAAAAAAAAAAAAAAAAGAATAAATAAAAAATAACCCTTTCCCATTTGGTGAACCTTGGTAATGGAATGGGAATTAGGTAAGGCTTAGAAACTGTTTAGAAGATGGTATATTAGGCACTGGCTTTCAGAAAAGGAGTGGTTTGGGCTTTTTTCTGTAGCTCTAGACTGTGCATATTTTAGGAACTATCTTGAAATCTATCAAATGTTCATTTTTGATACCTGTATAAACTGTTTTTTCTTTACCTCAAAAATGCTATTTTTCTTCTCCAATTATGTAGTGACCCTTTTGATTGTCCCATGGCAGGTTTCCTGCATGTTACATTTAAGTGTTAAATTTAGATAAGACAGAATCCTCTGGTATATGAGACATATTTTTTAATGTTAAGTGTGTACTCTAATAGGCACATAATTTTCTTTATAATGTTTCTACTTTTATATAATAAACCCCTGTGTACTATTACCCAGTCTCAACTATTTTCAATACCAGTGCCAATCTTGTTTGAAATGCACCAGTACTCTTTAGCCCCCTGCTTAGCCCCCGGGTTGTGTTATAATATACAGTTTATTTACTTACTGACATATTTGCCTTATATTTGACCTACCATGTGGTGTTCTTTCCCAGAAGTTTGAAGGACTTCCTTTAGGTTTTTTTATAGTGCAGGTCTGGTAGCAGTTTATTCTCTCTTTTTACTTACGTGAAAGTGTATTGATTTTGCCTGAATTTTTTCTTTTGGCATTTTGAATATATCATTTTAATGTCTTTTGACATCCATTGTTTCTGAGTCAGCTCATATATCATTGTCACTCTGTAATGTATTATTTTTCTCTTGTTGCTTTCAAGGTTCTCTTTTTATCTTTGGCTTTCGGAAGTTTGACTGTGATGTACCTAGGTGTGGTTTTCTTTGTGTTTGTCTTTCTTGGTATTTGTTGAGCTGTTGACTCTGTTGGACCTGTAAGTATTTTTGACTGAATGTGTGAAGTTTTCAGTCACAGTTTCACTTCTTGAGATATTTTTTCTTCCCCTCTCTCTTCTTTTCTGGGACCCCACTTACATGTGTGTTACACAGGTTTGCCTGATACTGTCCTAAAAGTAATTTTCTATGGCTTTATTAAGTTTTCTTTAATCTCTTTATTCTTTGTAGTGGATAACTTTTATTCATCTGTCTTTAAATTCATTGCTTTTTTTTTCTTCTGCCATCTCCAATATGCTGTTGAGCCCATCTAGGAAGTCTTTCATTTAAGTTATTGTACTTTTCCCTGGGTGCGGTGGCTCACACCTGTAGTCCCAGCACTTTGAGAGGCTGAGGTGGGAGGATTGCTTGAGGCCAGGAAGTCAAGACCAGCCTGGGTAACATAGTGGGATCACGTCTCTACAAAAAAATAGAAAAATTAAGCCAAATATGGTGGTGCATGCCTGTAGTCCCAGTTACTTGGGAGGCTGAGGCAGGAGGATCACTTGAGCCCAGGAAGTCGAGGCTGCAGTGAGCTGTAATTGTGCCACTGTACTCCAGCCTGGGCAACAGAGTCAGACCCTGTCTCAAAAAAAAAAAAGTTATTGTACTTTTCAGCTGTAGAATTTCCATTTGGTTTTTAAACTTTCTATTTCTCTGTTGAGATTCTTCTGTTCATTATTATCATCATATTTTCCTTTAGTTCTTTGAACATATTTAAAATTGCTGCTTTAAAGTCTGTCTACTGAGTCCAACATCTGGGCCCACTTAAGAGTCATTTTCTGTTGACTGCTTTTTTTTCTATTTCTTTGCATACCTAGCAATTTTTTTTTTGTTGTTGTTGAAAACTGGATATTATAGATTATATTTGTGGAGACTATAATCTGTTCTGCTCTGAGGATTTTTGGTTTTTTGTTCTGATAGGCATTTAACTTGTTTGGACACAGATGAAGAAATTTGTCCCATCACATTGTATTAAGTAGCTCTTGTCTCTGTTTGGTTATTTTCAGCTTTTAGCTGCTGCTTTTTTAGCCAGGTCTCTTGGGGGTCTCCTTTGTGTCTGTGTAGTTTAGTGGTCAGCCAAAGATTTGGGCAAAGTCGATACTGAGATTTTGGCGCTCACCTCTCTATGATTTTTTTGCTTTTGGGGTTTCCCCATCTGAATCTTCGGCTGCTCTTCCAGCAATTGTGTTCTGCCCCCAACCCTCAAGCCAGTAAGGGCTCTGCCTTCTTCAGCCCAGTCTGAGTGTGGGTTGGGAACACACTTAGTAAGAGATACAGCAGACTCACATCTCACCAAGAACACCTCTGTCTTTCAAGCACAGCATCTCCTCTACTTTCTGCCTTCTCTTTCACTATGTTCTGTGGGGTCTCCGATTTGCTTGCTTAGTTTAGCATCCACCCAGGAATCTGGGCAGAGCATATACTCAGATTTAGAATCTCAACCCTTCTGCATCTCTCTCTTCTACAATATCCCCCACCCTGCTTTCTAGTTCCTCTGCTGCTCTGAATCTATTATCTGCTTCCATAAGCTGGTAAGGAAGACTGTGGCTTTCCATCATCTGGTCTGGGACAGGGGGTAGGCAAGCCACGAACTCAGAGTTGTTCCCCAGTGTTTCAAGTGTAAATGCTTCTCGAATTTCTGTCTGTCCTTCAGTATTTTCTAGTACCTTCAAGTAGTTGTTTTAAATATTTTTGTCTGGTTTTTAATCATCATTTGTGAGAAGAATTGTCCTCCCTTTTTATGCCATCATTAACAGATGCCTTCCTTCCTTTAGATTATTTTAAAGCAAATCCCAGATATCATTTCTTTTCATCCGTAAATATTTCACTGTGTATCTCTAAATGATAAGGTTTTCTGTAAAAGAACCACAATTGATGTATTTCTATAGCTGCCGAGTACCTATACATTGCCTTTGGTTGGTATGCCTTTTAAATTTCTGTTAATCTGGCTGGGTGCTGTGGCTCACACCTATAATACCAGAACTTTAGGAGGCCAAGACAGGCTGATCATCTGAGGGCAGGAGTTTGAGACCAGCCTGGCCAATGTGGTCTCTACTAAAAATACAAAATTAGCCGGGTGTGGTGGCGTATGCCTGTAATCCCAGCTACTCGGGAGGCTGAGGCAGGAGAATCGCTTGAACCTGGGAGGTGGAGGTTGCAGTGAGTCAAGATTGCACCATTGCCAGCCTGGGTGAGAAGAGCGCAACTCTGTCTCTAAAATAAATAACTAATTAAAAAATTTCTTTTAATCTACGTAGCTTTTCCCTATTTTTTCTTTGAAGTTTATGTATTGAAGAAAGTAGGTCATTTGGCCAATAGAATTCTTAGATTCTGCGTTTTCCTGGTTGCGGTCTCATGGCATTAACATGTTCCTCTGCCCCTCACTTTTCCTATAAACAATAGTTAGATCTGTGAGCTTATTTTGATACAGGTTTAATTTTGGGGGTTGGGGGGCATGCTGGGGAACAGTGTTATTAGGTACTGGTCTTCCTATTGCATCACATTAGGAGGCATGTAGCGGGTTCAGGTTTTGTATGTCTGTTCCATCTGCTGCAAGTATATATATATATATATTTTAACCTGCTACCTTAAACTATTAAGGGTTAAACTTCACCTAATAATATTAACAGACATTGATTAACATGGCTTAGGAATTCATTCATTCAGTGGATAGGTAAGGAAATCAAGTTTTTATGATAAAATACTTCATAAATACATACTGATAATTCCAAAGCAAATTTGGTAGTACAGAATTTTTACTTAACCTCATTGATCTTATATTTTTATCTCCTTTAAACTATGACAAAATCCTTGGTTTTAAGTGACACAGAATACTCATTTGCTTTATTCCATGAACTATTCACAACAGTCTCCGAATACAGTACCTAAATCAGCAAACAGAGGAAAACTGAAAATTAAGATTTTGTTTTTTTGCAGTTTTATTCATCCTTACGTCTTATCCCACTAGGTGTGTCCCGTCAGTTTACTGTATTTTAAAGTCACCACTCTGTGGTTATGCCACCAGTTGTGGATTTATACATCTAGGTTTATTTGTTTTACTTTAAGAATTACTTTCTCTTTTAAAATTCATTTTTCCTTTATAATTATGTAAAATATTTGTGATAAAGTCAAATTTACAGAATGAGGTATATTCAAAGAAGTCTAGCTTCTGTTGTTACCCAATCCTTTCTTTCCTCAGAGGTAACCATTCTTAGTTTTTAATTTTATGGCTTATCTTTTCATTGTTTCTTTCTTACTATAAGTAAATATTTGTGTTTCATTTTATCACTCACTTTCATAGATACATGGTAGCATTCCATTCTATATGTACTGTACTATGTACTGTGCCTTTTTTCCTCCCCCCTCTTAATTGTATATCCCAGCGATCACTCCACAGTGGTCTATAAGGAGCCTCCTCAGTCCTCTTACAGCTGCCTGGCACTTCATTGTGTGGATGTACCGTAGTGTGTCCAACCATCCCCCTATCAATAGACATTTGGGTTAGTTCCAGTTTTTGCTGTTGTACAAATTGCTGCAGTGAATAGTCTTGTACATCAGTCTTTTCATATTTTTTGCCAGGGTGTTGAGGAAGAGGTCCCTAGAAGTAGAATTGCTAGTAGAGGACAAATGTGTGCTGTTTTGCTTAAAATTACCATATTCCCCTACATATGGGTTGTGTGATTTTCTGTTCCTACCAGCAGTGTATGAAAGTGCTTGTTAATTTACAGTTTTACCAACATAGTATATTGTCAAACGTTTGACTTTTTGCCAATCTGATAGGTAAGAAATGATGTGTCTGTACAGTTTTAATTTGCCTTTCTCTTACTATGAATGAGCTTTTCTAGTGTTTAAGAGCCGTTTGTATGTCCTTTTCTGCATATTTTACATCTCTCAAACAGATTTTTTTTTCTATAGGGTTGTTGGCCATTTCCTTTATTTTTAGAAGCTATTCATATATTAGGTATATTAATCCTTTGATATAGATTATAGTTTTCCCCATTATTGTTTCTCTTTTTAACTTTTCTTAAGGTACTTTTTGTCTTGGTGGTTTTAACTGAAGTGTACCTACTTAATAAATAAACTGGAAATGTGAGGAATGAAAATATTTTTTATGACCATGCTATCCTTGGATTGTATCTCCTTCAGTTTGGTCTTTTTTTTTTTTTTTTTTTTTTTTTTTTTTTACAAATTCTACTCCAATTTTTCTCTAGCTGTTAAGTTTCCTATATTATGAAGTCTGGGCCTTCACTTGTGCAAGATGAAAAGCGGGTCTACATATATATGGTCTCTATCACTGTTCTCTACTTGAAACATAGAGCTTCATAGATAAGTATTTAACAATTAAGTACTCGTTTCAGAAAGTACATTAAGTACTATAAAGAAGAAACAGAAGATGCAGCGTTTCTCTTTGGCAGCCTGTATAGAGCTCCGGCTTTCTACATGCTCACTATACTTGAGATAGTTATTTCAAGATTTTTAAAACTAAAATTACTCTTGGTGGCAAATCTTTTGCTAGTTTGTCTCAGCCTATTTCCAACACCTCAGAGCTACAAGTAATTCTGCATTAATTCATTTAGCCTTGGCTCCCCTTTGGTGCTTCCCAGCTTGACGTGGAGTAAGCTGCTAAAAATTTCTGAGAACACTGAGGACCTCAGGTGGTCTTCTCCTTCCTTTCCCTCTAAGTTCGTCTAATTTGGGGAACTTTGTTCTACTTGGGCTTGGAAGTAGCAGAGTAATTCTTTTTAGAGATAAGATTTCTGTTGGGTTCTAGTCTTCTGTTTTAAGCCAGATGTCTTAGGAATTGTTTAGAAGGAATGTTTTCTGCCTTTAATCTTTAAGGCCATAGCTGCATTGACCCTCAAACCAAGTAGAGTCACCAGGTGTCTGGAAGAGACAAACTGGGGCTAATATGTTGCATGACAATGGAACATCCAAATGAAGTGCCCAGCAGCTTGCCAGATATATTGATTTGGAGTTTGAGAGAGAAAATAATTAGGAACTTATATCACTATAGATCATAGGATCAAAGAATTTTAAAGATGTAAGGGACACTAGAAAATAGTTCAACCCATCCCCATTGTACAACTGGAATCTGAAGTTCAGATTATTAGAGTTTGTCCAAGAGTCCATAATTAGATATTGCAGTCATCTGTTGTAAGCTTGTAGTTGTGCTTTAAGAGGGATTCTGAGAGAGAGAGAGTATAAGTACGGTGGGGCACCCAGGTAGTAATATGCAGGAAGTAGAATTGGCAACAAAGGACACAGAATGAAATGGTGAGATGGCTAGCGGAAACATAGGGAGAATGGCATCACAAAGGCAAAGGGAGGAAAGAATTTCAGTTTAGTGGATAGTCAACCAAGGCATTTCACTTAGCAGTCAGGAATGAAAAAACGATACTGAATTTGAACATTAGGAAAGCTTGGTAAATTTCAAGAGTATAATTTCTGCAAAGTTGGAACACAGTGAATAAAAAAGTGCTAAGAAATTGAGGACAATTGAAAAGTTTAGCAAATGATAAGACAAAGCAGAAGATAGTAGATAGTGAGGACAGCAGAATCAATAGGAGGGTTTCTTGGGAAGGCCATCTTTGTTTTAAAGTTTATGGGGAGAGAACCAGTGTGCGAATGGAAGTAGCTAGGGGGAGAAACTGAAAATGCTAGGAAGACTGGGTGTGGTGGCTCATGCTTGTAGTCTCAGCTGCTCAGAAGCCTGACGTAGGAGAATTGCTTGACCCAGTAGTTCGTGACCAGCCTGGAATATAGCCAGACCCTGTTTCCATAAAAAAAAAAAAGCTAGGAAGGTAAAAAATAAATGTGAAGCAACAGGATTCCCCCTTTGAGTAGCTCATGCTTACTGTGCAGTTTCAGTACCCCATACTGTTCTAGGTATCTTAACATGTCATAACTCATTCACTTCTCAAAGCTCTGTGGGGTTGGTACAACTATTATCTCTATTTTATAAATAAGGAAACTGAGGCAGTAAAACACCAATTTGCCTGAAGTCCCGTAATCAGTTCATGGTACAACTGAAATTGAGGCCCAGCTGGCTTTTTGAGTCTGCCCTCTGAATCACCAAATTGTACTGCCACTCTTCCTGTTGTAAATGTTGTTTATAAATGTATTTAATTTTATTACACAAGTAAACTTGAACCTGAAATTTTTGGGGTCTAAAAAAATTTGTTTTGCATGATTCAGTGGTAATGTAATAATTGCTCTTGAATAAGCATAATAATTGAATAATTATTCCCTTTAGGTTGTGCATTATGTGTGACTCTTCCAATGAGTTTATTAAACTTTTTCAGGTAAGTATTTTATTTTTTAAATGGGCAAGAAATATGAAAAGTTTTAGCAGTTGTTAGCTGAACTTAGGGATCTATTTTCCTTTTGGAGTCAGGACATTTTGAAAAGGTCACAAAACCTATATTTTAAATCTTTAATGGGGTAGGATAGTTTAGGGTGTCGATGGTGGCTAATGTAGTCATTTCAAACACAGCACAAAACTACTAGTTCTTTTGTTACGGTTTTGGACTCATCAAATAGTCTTCTAATGAGGCCAGGCGCGGTGGCTCACACCTGTAATCCCAACACTTTGGGAGGCCGAGGTGGGCGGATCACGAGGTCAGGTTCGAGACCAGCCTGACCAACATGGTGAAACCCGTCTCTACTAAAAATAAAAAAATTAGCTGTGTGTGGTGGCACATGCCTGTAATGCTAGCTACTCAGGAGGCTGAGGCAGGAGAATTGCTTGAACCTGGGAGGCGGAGGTTGCAGTGAGTCGAGATCGCGCCACTGCACTCCAGCCTTGGCAACAGAGCGAGACTCTGTCTCAAAAAAAAAAAATTTTAGCAAGATCATAAAAATTCTGAATGTGTGTAGTTTAGGACCAAACTGGACCTGTGCTGACTTTTCTTAAATAGCCCTTATATAGAAGTTCCTGTCTGGGTTGCGGGGAGAAGGGAGATGCTCAGGTGGAGTTTCATTTCTCTGATCTATGTGCTTCTCCACTTTTGCTCAGCCACACTGAATTTGCCTATTGTGTCCTGAATATATTTTGCTCTTTCCCTTCTTAGTAATTTTACTCCCACTGCTTCCTTTGCTCCTTTTTCTTCTGGTTGAAACATTTTCTTACACTTCCCACTTCATCCTTTAGCTCTCAAATCTGCGTAGCAGAATCTTATTTATGTTAAACCAAGCGCTATTAATCTTCTTCATTTATTTGAGCTGGCAGTTATTTATAGAAGCCATACAGTTTAAAGCTCTGAAGGATGTAGAGATTATTTCTCTACATTTTCTTCTCATTTTATAACAACGAGGCTCTCATTGGGCAACATATTGCCCGAGGTCGTGTGATCAATGGCGGAAGCAGGACTGGAATTTGGAGCTCTGTTCAGCTGAGCAGGCGTGTATTGTATAACCTCCTGTGTGCTTAGAGACACTGAGATGTGGTATGCCAGTCGCACCTCAGAGTCTTTCATTGTGAGCTGTCTTACTCTAAGTTCTCTATCACTTTGTGTCAAAGCCGCACTTTGAGGTACTCTTCTAGTATTTTATGTTCATCTTATTTACCCCATTAGAATATCTCATAGAACAAAGTCCAGATTTTATTCATCTTTATATTCTTAGCACAGCAGTTGATAGTTTGGTTTAAAGAGAAAAAAATGGGATTAGAGGTCAGAAGATTTCAGTCCTAATCCTGGCCCTGCCACTTGGTACCAAGTTTTGTAAATTTAAATTCTCTTATCCTCACTTAGCCTGTCTGTAAAATGGGATTAATGATGTTGGTTCTGTCTATGCCACAAGATTATTGTGAGTATAAAATAAGTGTATAAATAAGGAAACTATAAACTACAGTACAAGTACTGTACAATTTATATGTAATAATGTTCTTTATATTACTTGATTTTTTTTTCCAGAAGCTATAAAAATAACACCTTGAAACTCAATTCAGTCTATGAAGCTATGGTTCCCTTATTTTCTCCATGCTTGCTGTTCATTTTGTCTACAGCGTGGATCCTTTGGTCACCTTCAGATATTTTAGAGCTACATCCTAGAGTATTCTACTTTATGGTTGGAACAGCTTTTGCCAACAGTACAGTAAGATTTTTTTCTTTTAAAAATCATAATATATATTAGGATTGTATGACAGAATTTGATAATTTGAAAAATCTTTAATATTAGAATAAACAGATTTTAACTTAAAGATTTTTATTTCAGAAATTTGAAAGAATAGTAACCTCAAAGACTGAAATGCTGAAAATTATTTTATTTTGCCCTTTGAAACCAATAGGATTGGAGACTACAGTAGTATTTTGGAACTATGGCACACTTAAATTTTTTATTTTGGTTGCCCGCTGAAGAATTCATGGAAAAAATTTATAGATTCCCTTTAGACTCTAAATATATTACCAGTATGGCTAAAATAGCTGCAGACTTAAATGATTATTCTAGGAAGCTTGGAAGAGATTTTTGAGAAAGAGAAAACACACACTTTAAAAATCAGCTGATTTTAAGATTAAGAACGTGGAATTTAAAACTTTGTAATAAATAGAACATATTCTTATAAATTCCTTTCCATGCTGGACTGTGCAAGAGAGCAGACAGGAAGCAGAGATCAGGAGTTGAGAAAAGACTCTGATAGTCCTGAAAGCCAGAAGGTCTGTGTTCTAGCTCAGGCTGGGTCCTTAGAAGTTTTTATTTTGTAACTTAGCTACTCATCTTATGTTTCCATGTTTGTAACGTGTGTAATATCTCAAGTCTTGCTGATTTTATAGGGTTTAAATATCTAAAAACACTAATGCATTGTATAAAAAGTGTCTCTGAAAGAATTAAATTATATTCAAGTAAGGTCTTCAAAAATAAAGGAGCCAAAGAGGTTTTGAGATACTAATTATGGCAATGGGACTGAATTGGAGATAGCACTTCTTCATCATTGCCATAAAGAAACTTAATTGTGTGGGGGTGTGGGAGGCTATTTTGATTTTTTTTTTTAACATATCGTAGAATCTTAAAATTGAGAGAAATTTCTTTTATTCAAACTGTTGCCCAGTGGGAGAATGCCTTCTATAGCATCCTTATTCAGTTATCTTCCAGCCTCTTCTGACACACACTCTGAGGTTACATGGGTTTTTGGGCAGGGCCAGGGGTCCAGTTGGGCCCCTAAGCATTGAGAACTTCTGAACTTAGATAATGTAAGTGTGTTGGTTCAGGTACTTGAATGCTTTTCAAATGTTGGAAAGACTAGTTTTGGAAGTGCTTTGCTAATGAAATTTTTCTTTTTTTCTCTCTTATTTTTTTAAATTGACGTCCAGTGTCAGCTGATTGTTTGCCAAATGAGTAGTACCCGGTGTCCAACTTTGAATTGGTTGCTGGTTCCTCTCTTCTTGGTTGTCTTAGTGGTAAACCTAGGAGTAGCCTCTTACGTTGAGAGCATTCTCCTGTATACATTAACAACTGCTTTTACTCTGGCCCACATCCATTATGGAGTACGAGTGGTGAGTAATCTACAGCAAAATGGGTTCAATTTGGGGCTTATAAATGGCACCAATAAATGCCTCCGAGTAGAAAGGAGGCAATGGAAAATTTTAAAAAGAAAGTTGCTTATTATAGTAGCTGTAAGGGTTTTGGGATATTCTCTAAATTTTGGATAATATCCAGATGTTTAATTTCAGATATTGTTTCTCTAATGAGTATGTTACTGTAATAACAAATGATTTTAAAGCTGGATAATTATTGTGAGGAATTAGTTATTACTGTAAGTGGGTATGTATAAGCCATCTTCTTGGTGAGTAGAATTGTAAACTGAGCCTTTAGTTATATGGGATCAGATAATCACATTTGTTAATTATCTATTTCTTCACTTGCTTCTTTAGCTTTAGGGGCATTTTTATTGTTCATTAACAAAATTTGGAAAGAAATGTAATTGGTTGTGTAGTGCTTTTTCCCTCCCACTGCCCAGTTTGCTAAGCAGTTGTGGTGAGGGAGATTAGAATTTCTGACTGAAGGAAGACTTTGGCATTATTTGAGGTTTTACTTCATTTATGTTATTCTCGAGCCCTCATCAGCAAAATTGATAAATAAGGGGAAATATAGAAGAAAAGGGATTTTGAGAAATGTTTTGTAAACTTGATATTTTCTTCTAAAATAAACTAATTTTAGGAGAATGGACGAATATAGATATAATGAAATCAAATGGAACCATGTGGTTTTTCTTTCACTTTAACATTCTTTTCTAATTATTTTACATTTTTAACATAGGCTGTGCAATATTCCACCAAGGAGATTACTTAATAATGACCTTGCACAGTACAGTTATTTTAATCATTTAGGTTGTTTCCAGATTTTCACCATTATAAATATTGCCCTAGGCTGGGTGTGGTGGCTCATGCCTGTAATCCTAGCCCTTTGAGAGGCTGAGGCGGGTGGATCGCTTTAGCTCAGGAGTTCGAGACCACCCTGGGTAACAGTGTGAAACCCTGTCTCTACAAAAAATACAAAAAAAAAATTAGCCAGATGTGGTGGTACAGGCCTGTAGTCCTAGCTACTTGGAGGGCTGAGGTGGGAGGATCGCTGGAGCCCAGGAGGTCGGGGCTACAGTGAGCTGAGATGGTGCCACTGTGCTCCAGCCTGAGTGACAAAGTGAGACCCTGTCTCAAAAAAAAAAAAAAAAAAGAAAAAGAAAGAAAAAAAATGTTGGCATAAACAATCTCGAATATTTTTGTTTCATTTGTTTTATTTTCCGAGGATAATTTCATAGGAATGGGGTTGTGACAGGGTATTCACATTTTTATGACTCTTAAAACACTTCTATTTGGTATGCTTGTTTGAAAGGAACCCTGCTGTTAATCCGTTTGAGAAACAAAATATCTTCTGTATTTTCACACACAGTTTTTAAGTGGGAGAGGCAGCTATCATGCTTGATAACAACTTTATACCTTGCATATGTTGCTAAACTTGGGCTTTCTTCCCTTAGTGTTTCTCTACAAAGTTGCCCTCATTTGTTAGAACAAACTAGATACAATTGTTAAGGAGAAAAAAGCTGTGATGAATTGTGATATAAGACATAATTATTTTTGTTTTTATTTGTACAAATGTAACCTTATATACCTTATATCAATACTCTTCGGCCTTTATCCTGATATTTCATCAATATATGCATGGCATAGAATATCCATTTGCCAGTGTCTTTTTTAATTGTTTTCATTTACTATAGCCTTTTAGAAGCATATCTTTAGAAAGCTACATACATACCAAACCAAACCAAAATATACTTTTCTTTAAATGATAAAGGTACTACATTTTCATTGTTAAAAACCTGGAAAATAAATAACACGCTAACTGGAAAACAATTTAGGATCATCTTTTTTATCTGTCTTTGTGTTCTTTTACCACATCTACAACTTCTGGCCAGAAGTTAAAACTTGCTAGGCCACACAAAACATTCACTTGAACTGCTGAAATGTAAATAATAAGTATCAAGTAAATGACATGCACTCGCTGACCTATAACTAAGCTCTTGCCTTCCCACTAGAGATACCCTAACTAATAAGGCCTCTCCAAATTCATAGATCTAGTTTTGTACTATTTCATCGGGATTAGGAATGATTACTTAGAAATGTTTAGCAAGCTGAATATAGAGTCTAACTATAAATATGATTACTTGATCTAGATGCTACAGGTCAACTAATCCTATAGTTTTTCAGATTTGGATGTGAATTTGAGTGCTCTGGAGGGTTCTCAAGACTAGATTTTAGTTCTAAGTCCTAACTTTCCCATGTTAGTTCTAGTACTTCCATTTAGCTGTCTAGTTCTATAGCTATCCTAATCCAGAAAAACCTTTTCAGTATTTCTCATGATTTTTGCCGTGTCAATAAATTGTTATCTCTAGGGGGTAAATTCTGTGTGCTTTTAAAAAACAATAAGGTACATATTTGTCACTGTCTCATGTTCTGATTTTTCATAGGTAAAGCAGCTGAGCAGCCATTTTCAGATTTACCCCTTCTCATTGAGGAAACCAAACTCAGATTGACTAGGAATGGAAGAAAAGAATATTGGCCTGTAATAATCTTTCTTTGGGCACAAAGAAGTACTGTAAATAAATGCTTGTAAATATTTCCTCCATCACCATTGAACTAGACTGATCTGCTTGACAGACGTGGGATCTCAGTATGGTACTTGGACAGCAGGAATGATACATATAATCTGAACTTGGGAAATTTTGGACCTACTAACTCTAAGCCTATTTTATTTTTTATAAAACTATGTGACATTTTGGTTGAGCAGAATGTACGTTAGACCAGCAAAATGTTCCTAATGGTTCTAACTTCGTGAGTTTACAATGTTGTGATTCATGCAGGGTTAAAGATGCTTTGTTTTTATTTTTTAAGTACCAAAATTGGTTTCAGAACACTGATAACACTCAGAAAACCACAGTGTGTTTTCATATTTGGAACTTTGTAATAGCGGGAGTAGCAGTAGTCCAAACCTAGTATAGGGAAAGGATAAAAATAAGTCACCTTCACCAAGAGATGCCAATGATTACCAAACAACAGACAGTTGCCAAATACTGGTTTCTCTTTCCCCTGAAAATGGCTTTTGTTCTCAAATGATAAGAGAGCTAATACATTTAGCTAATATTCTAGCTCTCTTTATTATGGAACAGATCTTGATAGATGGTTTAATTTTCTCCTAAAGAGAAATAATCAGTTGAGAATTTGAGAATGGGTTGTAATTATCGCTCACCCATTGGGATGGTTCATTGTTTAAATATGGCATTTTCCCCCCTTCAGCTGCAGGTTCCTGAGATTTGGTGCCTGTGAGCTCTGATTGTAGGAATGCATGTGACAGTCCCAGTCCTATGGTAATGACTTAGGAGGAATGCAGATAAAAGTACCTTGTAAGATAAATATAAATTGGAGTTAGGAATTTCATGAACCTCACTATGACCAAAATTAATTTTTTGATTCAGTTTGTCTGTCTGTCTGTCCTTCCCCTCTCTTCTTTTTTCAGGGTGAGGTGCTGTGTTTCTTATTTCATACGAGATAAAACAGAGAGAAGTTCTCTCTTCTCCAGCTTGTCCATTTCCCCACTTGAAGAAAACTTTTGATATATATGCCTTACTGAGTACATGCCCCCTTTAATGTTAACATGACTTGGAGTAATTTCTGAGGTTTACTGACAAACATAAAAATCCCTTTAATTGTAGTGTAGTTGTTCTATAAACCATATTTTTTCATGATGTGGATATTTTCTTCTATTTCTTTGTCTTCATTTAATTTGGTGGTGGTGAACTTTACTTGCTGATTTTCTTTTATTTTTCACTGAATGAAGTTTGTGCTTGAATGAAGAGTGTATCTTAAACCCCCTTTTTTTGGACAGGCTGCACTTGGATAAAATAGGCACCACTGTGTTGATATGTAATTAAATTCATAACTATTTATGAATGTGACCATTGTTAAATTTAATTATAGTGTATTTCTTTCTTGAATTTCAGTCTGCTGCTTTGTAAAAAATAACTGTAATTGATATTTCATTTTTAAAATTTATAAATTCCAATCATTGTCATTCAAGTTATTAGAAATGAGTCACGGCACTAACTCATGGTTCTATACTCATTTTAAGAAATTGTAAAGGTTGAGGTGTATTTGGTGACTTTCTCTGAGACACAGATGAACGTTGGAAATAGATGAGAAATGGATGCAGAATAATGCAGATAGTGATCCCATGTTTGTTAATTGCCATCATGGAAGTCAGAGAATTAACCAATTAAGTGACGGTAACTATTTTTTGTATACCTTGTTCTTTGTGATCTATAAAATTAAACTGGATAAAATGTTAATTGGGGGTAGGGAAAAAGCTTTGTTTTAAGATTTCTAAGCTAATTATTTTACCGTTTTGTTGACCTTGTACACAAGAATGAGATTAATCTGTATTATATAAGAAAAGAACTGATAAATATTTATAAAATGACAAACTTGGACCACAGGCTTTCTTGACCTTGTACAGTATAGTAAAAATACCCTTTACTTCTGACATTTTAAGGTCACGTCCTATAGTTTGGGGGCCCTTTTACTTCAAAGGTGTGTTTCTGCCCTCTTTTGGTTGTATCAAATTTATTTGAAAATTGTTTTGTGCTGTACTTTATGACTTGTTTCCCTATGGTGGTAAAGAATGATGCCATAGTCAGTTTTATTGACATTGTTAGATGAAAGAAAAGTAGCTGTCAACAAGGGGAAAGTGAAATTGAGCAATTCACTGTTTCAGGATACTTGAGGATCTTTAGTGTACTGCTGACTCTTTTTCTTGTTTTGTCTGCCATTCTTGAAAGTGCATCTTGAGAGCCCCCATTTGTTGTGTAGAGATATAGCAGCTGAAGCAGGACTTCATTCCAGATAGCTGTGTGCATTTATGTCATGCCAATTACTATAACATTTCCAAAGTATGAAAGGTCTTTCAGGCTTATGCATGATATTGTGGGTGACTTCATGCCCCAGCCTTTCTCCCCAGCATACAGTGAGCTGCCTTTTGGGGAGCAATGCCATGATAAGGAGCATACGTGCATGTTTTCCGTACTTTCAGAATAGAGTGCCTTAGCTAGGCCAGAGGCTCGTATTGTGTTTCTGCTGACCAAAGTTGCATACACCTGTAAGAAGTGTCTTTTTAGGTTATGGTATTAAAAAAGTCGTTTCAGGCTTATCAGATAATAATTCTCCTATATTTGAGGGGGGCATGGGATAAAAAGATTTAATAATACCTGGATAGAGAATGCTAATGCTGCCTTTTGTGATCCTTTAATATTATCCATGCTTTTATAAAGTGCAGTACACATTTTGACATTGCCACAGTTTACAGTGTCATTCTTCCACGAATAGGTAATTGATAGAGTTTATGGGTCTTAGTCTTAAGGGTAACAGAGTGAATACCTTCCAAATAAAAAGCTAAATATTCCTCCTTGTCATTTTAATGTCATTATTGAAATACTTTTAATTCTAATTTTCAAAAGAAAGCTAAATGCTGATTGTGGTTTAGGATGTTACAGTACTAATACCATCATGTTATTTATTCTAATATAGAGGCATTGAGAGGAGGGGAGTGTATGTCTAGAGTTACCCCAATTCTAAATAGGTACCAAAAGAGTATTGATTATGACCTGGAGCCTGAGCTTTGGGAGAATATACAAAGGAAAAAGCAGGCATAGTTTCCACTTTAAAGGGAAGAAGGGACTTTAACATCCTATGAATTTGAAACATCCTATGAATTTGAAAGTTTCCTAAGTGTTGTTTTCAAAGAACTGGTTTATTTTATAGTCAGTCAAAATGCATTTGGAATGTACCTTGCTTCCATAACAGACTTTGACTCTATGACCTATGAAGAATAAAAAGATAATCTGAAGGTGTTTGAGTCAGAGGCTACTTTTCCCCTTTATATTTTATATAGAAGCCTATTTGTAATTCTTCCTCTTCGTTCTTCACCTGGGTTTCCTCTTATCTACCCACCACCTAGGACAGAGGCTGCCCACTCAGGTCTTGCCTTGTTGCCCCTAGATGTTGCCACATTCACATCTCCTTGATGGCCTTAGATCTCTTGACTAGTCAAGGACTGGGAACGTGCCAGGGGGAACAAAGTAAGCTTGATGGGCTGGAACTTTTGACTTTGGGTCCCCAAACAGCCAAAAACAGATACAGAAATCTTTGGTTGTGTGGATGCCTGTGTTCAGAGTGGCCTTATCTTGACCTCAGTTCTGGATTTAAGTACTCTATAGAAAATTTGTGAAGTCAGACCAGAATTTTCTTTGTCCCATGAGGTGTCTTTGTAAGTCAGCATGCTCTTGCTTGAACACCCTGTGGGTGAATAACTTTAGTAAGTTAGCTGCCAGCATTAGAACCTTCCAGGAAGAATTTTAACTAGTATGCTACATTTGAAGCACTCTGACATGTACATTTAAAGTGACAGTTTTAAAAGTAAAATGGTGTTAAATCTCTGAAACTTGAACGTATGATGCTCTGGACATTTTAGGAAGCTTAAGTAAATTTCTGATTTTCCTTTATTGATTATGTAACCCACGTGATTTGCATATTTTAGTTTTTATGTTTGACAGTGGTACAAATGACTGACATTGGCAGGCAGTTATTGTAGGGTATATGGTTAATCACGATTGTCTAACTTTTCCAGAGAAAGTGGTGATATGCTTCTTCCTTGCATGGAGCTGTGGGAATTGGATTTGTTGGCTCTTCATTTCCAGTGTTTCTACAGTGCAGAATAAATGTAACTTTTTAAGCCTGCATGCTAGTAATATGCTTTGCTCTTTAGTAAACAAATATGCAATAGATAGTAATCTATCTACTTTTTTTAAAGCAGGGATCTGCTCCCTATCTAGACAGATCTTTTAATGCATTAATATTTAGAGTAGCAAAAGAAGTTTTGCCATTTGTAGCTCTCTCACAGGTAGCTTAAGCGAGGGGGTTGTGTTGCATGTGCTTAGAAAGGCCAGGATCCCAGAATTGGAAGGTGCCACATATACTTTTAGAATATTTTAACAAAGGCTTGTCTCTAGGAAAATCCACTTGGACTGCAGCAGGATTGTTCTGGTCTTCCACAGACCATTCACATGGTCTTTCTCTCCAGAGAATCATTCTTAGAAAGCCAGGCTAAATCAGAGTAGTGCTGTTTTTAAAGCAAGTATATTGGATGATGGCTATAGGGTACCTTAATGCTGTGTTGAAATTGGAAGCAGACTGCTCTTCAGCAGCACATATACTGCAACTGAAGTTAGAGACAGTACTGAAGACGAGGGAGTAGCTAAATGCTGTGGATATTTCATGTCTGTTTGGCTAATGTCTTCTCTTGAGGAGTTTCTATGGGTAGCAATTAAAATTAGAATTTATTTTAAGGTTTTTATTAAAATATATACAATTTGCCATAAATTCTAGATTCTGATATTCTTGACAAGCACTTTTTGAATATCTCAAGAGTAAGTTCTTGACCTGGAACATATATAGTTAGTACTTGATGTCACTAACCAAGTTGTAGAAGGAGCCTGTTATAATTCTGCAAGATCTGTGAATAGCATTATAAATCTGGGGCAGGTGCCTGTAATCCCAGCACTTTGGGAAGCCAAGGCAGGTGGATTGCTTGAGCCCAGGAGTTCGACACCAACCTGAGCAACATGGCGAAACCCCGTCTGTAATAAAAATACAAAAAAATTAGCTGGGCATGGTGGCATGTGCCTGTAATCCCAGTTACTGGGGAGGCTGAGGCAGGAGAATCACTTGAACCTGGGAGATGGAGATTGCAGTGAGCAGAGATTGTGCCACTGCACTCCAGCCAGAGTGACAGAGCAAGACTCCATCTCAAAAAATAATAATAAAAATAAACAAATCTGTTTAAATTACTGTTGCCTTTCAGCATTAGACTTTGAGTTTAATAACTACAAATTGAGACTGCTCACAATATTAACTTTTTTTGTAGGTTATTTTGTTGTTTAGATAACTTGCCTCCCTAGAGGAGCATTCAGGAGATAAAGACCTAGCTACATGTAATGATATGATCATTTCAAAAATGTGCCAAGAAAGCAAAATTCATTATTGAACTCTAAATTTCTGGGTGTTTTTTTTTTTAAAGTAGCATTTTCTCTGGGTAAAGGGAAAGGCAATGAATGATTGCCAACATGTAAACTCCCTGCTGCCCGCCTTCCCCCAGTCCCCTCCATCTAACATAATACAGTAAATTTGTAGCCAGTTGTAGAAAAAGAAATTGATATCTTTCTGAGTAAGGTTTCATGCCCTGTGACTAAGAATAGGTGGAGGAATCATGGCCAAATCAAATATGAATTGTTTAGCTTGGTCCTGTTGCAGTTGGCTTTCTGTAGTGTTCTGAAACAAGAGGACGATTCCATTCCTTCTCAGGAACCTAGAAACAACACCGCTTGAGCAACTGGAATATGTTTGCTGCAAGCAGAATATTTTGGGGAGAGGAAGAGTAGTTTAATTCAAGTAGTTTAATTGAACATATTAGTCATTGGTCTGTCTGGGACGTGCAGTGTTCATAGTAGCAATGTATGTACCATTTATTTTATCTGGTTGTGTGTGATGTGTGTGTATGCCTATTTAATATGTACACATATATTCACTACATATGTATGTATGATATATTCATATATACATGCAGTCTGCTTGATTATCAGCAAAATGGTCAGCCTTTATCAGATAGTTTCTTCATGTGGAGTTCATCTGCATGTGGCCCTTACTCTGAAGCCTCTTCCTGATCTGGAGCCACAGTCTGTCTGTCTTCCAGTTCATCTCAGTCCTCGAGAAAGGCCCTTTAAATATGTCACTTTCCCATTTTCCTTTAACCATGGGTTGTGTGAGCCAGAAAGAGCTTTGAGAAAGATGGCTGCTTCCACCAGGGTGGAGGCTTCTAGGTCTGCATGATGATGGGGCCCGTTTCTGGCCAGAGGGTGGCTCTGGGAGCAGTTGTGCTGCGGGCTTGCTGGGGGAGAACTCTAACTGTTGCAGAAACAGAGCTTCATGGCTTGCTTAAATTACTTAGCTGGAATATTTTAAAGTGTCAGATAATGTGATGTACAAAGAGAGTATGCCGATGCATTTCATTGTTTTTGCATTATCTGTATCAGTGTTTCCCATTGCTAGCCCGAATAATCAAGACCAGACTGTTTCTTGTCACTGGATTCTGGAAGCCTTGCCCTTTCAACTGGATTTATGTTTGTTTCTGCTGCTGTGAAACCCCAAAGTAATGCAGTAGGTTTTAATTGAAAATTGTTTAATTCTATTATTGATAATTATTTATTGTAATAAAAGTAAAAGAGTAATTTTTAAATCCTTTTAATTGTTTTCAGATTGTCTTCTTTGTTTTCCTTGGTAAGTGCAAAAGGGGAGGGAGCTATGGGGAGAAAACTAATGTCCAGCCACTTGTCTCAGAGAATCATTGATTATTTTAAAGCAAAACACTGAAAAGGTTTTGTTCTGTTTTTAGAGAGATCAGCCGCTTGCTCCTGGGCGTTCTGTGATCCTGTGACTTGTTTCAAAAGGCAGAATACGAGGCAGGTGGCAGTAACAGCTTTTCATAGTATACTGCTCCTGACTCGCCCAGAACTGGGTGGTGGCAGTCTCTATAGTCTAATAATGACTGGGTCACGCCTAAGTTAGTTTGTAAGGTGGTTTCTTCCTCAGAAGCATTTTCCCATAGAAAGAGTGTTAACATATGGTATTAATTTTCCAGACGAATCCCATAAAAACCTGTTAGACCATACTTAGTACGTCTAGATTATAGTATAGAAACTATAACTCCCATTACATGACATTGCTTCTGAGGAGAATATTTCCCATTTTTACATCGATCTCCCAGCTCTGGCAGTAGGCATTTAAAAAAAATTGCAGGCCAGGCACAGTGGCTCACGCCTGTAATCCCAGCACTTTGGGAGGCCGTGGCAGGTGGATCACGAGGTCAAGAGATCGAGACCAGCCTGGCTAACAGTGAAACCCCATCTCTACCAAAAGTAACAAAAAATTAGCGATGCGTGGTGGCCCGCACCTGTAGTCCCAGCTACTCAGGAGGCTGAGGCAGGAGAATCGCTTGAACCCGGGAGGCAGAGGTTGCAGTGAGCTGAGATCGCGCCACTGCACTTCAGCCTGGGTGACAAAGCAAGACTCTGTCTCAAAAAAAAAGATAAAAGAAAAAAAAAATTTCAGTAACAGGCTTGAAGACAATGAGGAAGAAAATGCCCCATGTTTTAACCCAGGCTGTTCTCCAGCTGTGCGCTCTTAACCCCTTTCCCTCCCACGCTCTTGGTTGCGGTAGCAGTTATTCCCTCCCTTCTATCTGCAAACCTCAAACACCTCCCGAGTGCCTGATGACACATACCAGGTAGATACTACGTAACCACTCTTGGGGCTACCAAAACTTAAAAAAAAACCCTATGCCCCCAAAGGGTCTTGCTTCTCTTCCCACTCTCATCTTTTTTCCTCTGTTCACAAATTTCCTGAAAGAAAACTTTACAACTGCTCCTTCAATTTTCTTCTTCTTTTCATTCTGAGAGTTTTCTTAAAACCTCCCAAAGTTTTCATACAATGGCTGTTTCTTAGTCATGTTCAACTCTGCAAACTTTGAAGAAAGAGCTTTTTACTTTTTTCTAAGCCTTAGTTTCCTCATCTATAAAATGGGATCAATATTACCACTATTACACCATGTGAAGGATTGAATGAGGATAATGCATGCAGGGTGTTTAGCACAGTCAGTGGACTAAGGTAGGTGCTTGGTTTCTACTAATATCTAGTTCTCTGTCTTTTTTCTTTGAACTTTTTTTCTAAACCATGTGACACAGCTCATGACTTCCATGCCTCCTCCCCTCTCTTTCCTCCTTCATGCCTTTTGAGGCAGTATATGAAGATGATGGTAAGGCAGTTCCCCAAATTAAAAATTGGTAAGATTGCCTTCTCAGAATCTAATTAGTAAAATTCACACAAATCGAAAGATAGAAATAACCTAAGAAGTTGTCTAAATGATGAATTTGTCAGCATCCTCACATTCCAATTAAGGTGAGTTAGTGTAAACTTATTGGATGTAGAATTAAGTGTGACTAGACTTAGTAAGATATAAAATCAAATCTGTTCATCCTTCTTGTTTTGAAAAAAGGCTATAAAAGCTGAAGGTGGATGCCCACATACCTTCCTTAGCAAGGGAAGCCCATATAGCCAGATTCCTCAAAAACCTACTCAGGGATGAGGAACTCGACTGTGCTTGTGGCAGATTATCCCCATTGTGAGCCTCTGAACCATGGCAGTCAGTCCTACATATCAAGGGACTTCCCAGTCAGAGTTTGATCCTCTTTGTGACCAGCACATCTCTGTGGGCTGATCTACACGAAAGGCACGAAAATGCACACTGCCCTGTGTGATGGTTGTACTTGCTTGCTAAAAGAAATTCTATGTTTTTCTTTTGTGAGCTTGTTAGTATGAGCCAGCCAGGCTTTTGTATGAGCTTTTTTTTTTTTTTTTTTTTTTTTTTTTTTTTTTTGTGAGATGGAGTCTTGCTGTGTCACCCAGGCTAGAGCGCAATCTCTGCTCACTGCAACCTCTGCCTCCCGGGTTCAAGCGATTCTCCTGCCTCAGCCTCCTGAGTAGCTGGAGTTACAGGCATGCACCACCACACCCAGCTAATTTTTGTGTTTTTAGTAGAGATGGGGTTTCACCATGTTGGTCAGGCTGGTCTCGAACTTGACCTCGTGATCCACCCACCTTGGCCTCCCAAAGTGCTGGGATTATAGACATGAGCCACCGTGCCCGGCCTGTATGAGCTTATTAGTATGAACCAGCATTGCCTACCAGTTGAGGACCACACTCTAGATGCTGGTCAGTCATCAAGGTGAATGGACATCACCTGCCTCCCTTCCCCAAGTCCCTCTCATCTATAACAGCCCTACTTGCCTGCCTCACTCTCTTGGGGGTCTCCTGTTATTTCTCTTACAAAAACATGAATAAATAAGCTTTATGTTTTATTGAGTCAAAAGGGATTTATCCTCATTGTAAACATTTTTTTTTAATCTTCAGGGAATCTGAAAATCACCCATAAGCCCACCCCTGAGGGATATTGACTACTTTGTGGTATTCCCCCTGTTTTTCTTGTGTACTACTGTCTACATTTCAAATCAAACTCGGCTTAGGCTCTATATTGTGCTGCCTGCCTCTTCCCTTTCTCATGTAATGTATCTTGGATGTCTTTCTAGGTCACCTTTATTCTTGTGTTAGAGAATCCCATGATTCTTTTATCGGTTCCCCTATTGATGGATTTTGTCATATCTAGTTTTTTAATATTACAAGTAACTGGAATGGACATACAGATACATCTATATACGTTTCTTTCAAAAAAAGTTTGTTGAGCACTTACTACATATCAAATATTGTGCTAGGTGCTATGTATAAAATACCGAATAAAACTGATATAGTTGTGACCCCAATGAGCTATAGCTAGATCCATGATCTCCTTGTGATGATCTTTAAACTAGAATTGCCTAGTGAATGGATATGCTAATTTATTTTTGTGTGTATACAAATAAATATGTTTTTATCTAGTTTTTTCAGTTTTTAACAATTTTCTAAATTTAACTCACTTATGAACTATTTACAAAGGCATGGAAAATTAAGCATGCATTTTCCCATTTATATTTAATCATAATTCATTACATGTCTTCTGACTTTCTTGTTTAGTGGTTTTTCTTTGTCTCTTTGTTTCATTCCTTTGACCTCTACAACCACAGTTGTCTGCCCCATGAAAATATTTCTTCCTCTCTCTGTCCTTTGTTCAGTTTAAAAAATTTTTAGTATTTAAAAAAATTCGGCAGGCCGGGCGGAGTGGCTCATGCCTGTAATCCTGGCACTTTGGGAGGCCGAGGCGGGTGGATCGCCTGAGGTCAGGAGTCTGAGATCACCCTGGCCAACATGGTAAAACCCTGTCTCTACTAAAAATACAATAAACATTAGCTGGGCATGGTGGCACACGCCTGTAGTCCCAGCTACTTGGGAAGTTGAGGAAGGAGGATCGCTCGAACCCAGGAGGTAGAGGTTGCAGTGAGCCAAGACTATGCCACTGCACTCCAGCCTGGGCAATTGAGCAAGACGCTGTCTCAAAAAAAAAAAAAAAAAAAAAAAGGAAATAATAGTTATATATGTTTATGGGGTACATAGTAATATTTCAATCCATATAATGTATAGTGATCAGGTCTGGTAATTAGCATGCCTATCAGCTCAAACATTTGTCATTTCTTTGTGTTGGGAATGCTCAATATCCTCGTTGCTATTTGAAACTATGTTATTGACTATAGTCACCCTCCAGTGGTGCAGAACACTAGAACCTGTCATTTTGTATCCTTTAACAAATCTCTCCCTATTCCACCCTTTACCCTAGTATGCCAATTTAAACAGTTAATAGATTTTGGCAAACTGTCCTCCTAGGAGGTCCCTTTCCAGCGGTGAGTGAAAGTGTTTCCCACACCAGTGAAAAAGGTTTATTACATAATTGAGGCTGCCTGTGGGAGCAAAGAGGGCCTCCCAGCTGGTCAGAAAATGGCTAGAGAGAGCCAGGAAAGGAGACAAGCTTGGGGCTTTTATTGTGGTTAAGGGGTGAGGCTGGGAGGAGGGTATCCTGTGCACGCAGATGAAATCTGCCAGCACCAAAAAGAGCACCTAGGCTTTTTTTAACAGCTTGCCCAGATGTGGAGAAGAAAGAGGGAGTGCTGCGTAAAAGCTGCCAGCAGCCAAATGTCAGCAGCAAAAAATGGAGTCAGATTTCTTATATAAAAAGATGTTGGAAGTGGTATCAGAACAGTGCAGGGCCAAGTATCTCACTGGTCACTCTTCATGGGTTTGTATGGTACCTTTGCTCTCACTTACCTCTTGTGCAACAGCTGATTCCCCCTGACTTTCTCATGGTATCCCACTCCCAGGCATAGACATGCGCATGCACACATGCTTGTTTCTGTCCTTACGGATAGTGGAAACATGAACCAGGACCTGGACGAGTTTTTGGTCAGAGCTGTATCATGGCTCCTAGGAGAGTTTAATACTTTAGGTTTCAACCAAAGGAGACAGAGATCTGGCAGAAGGCCCTGAAGCCTAGAAGCAAGTACCCCCGCTCCTACCACCACCACCTAGGCAGGTGTGAGACAAGGATCCAGGCAGCTGCTGTTAGACTCTATAGCTGTTGGATGGTTTTGGCATTCCTAAACCTCTCTACTGCTTGCAAACGTGGAAGAACTGATTTTAAAAACCCACTCCATTTGCCTCTGGGCAGTTCTTACTCACAAAGGACGGGTCGTCTTGGCCGCACAGTTGTCTGTGGGTTGCATCATTTAACAGCTGAGAAAATGCTCCTCAAGAAGTTGTGACTTGCCCAAGGTGGCAGGGCAGGGCTAGGACTAGTACTCACCCTTTCTCACTGCTCATCCAGTGCCCTTAATTCCCCACGGGCTAATGGGACAGAACCCTGTTAAATGGTATCCAGTTTTTGTTTGGTTGGTTGGTTGGGTTTTTTTGAGACAGAGTCTTGCTCTATTGCTCAGGATGGAGTGCAGTGGCTCGATCTCGGCTCACTGCAACATCCACCTCCCAGATTCAAGCGATTCTCCTGCCTCAGCTTCCCGAGTAGCTGGGATTATGGGTGCCCACCACCATACCCAGCTAATTTTTGTATTTTTAGTAGAGACGGGGTTTCATCATGTTCACCAGGCTGGTCTCAAACTCCTGACCTCAAGTGATCTGTCCACCTCGGCCTCCCAAAGTGTTGGGAGGCTGAGGCATGAGCCAGCGCGCCAGGTTTTAATTCTCAATGAGAACACTATTTTTGTTGACAATGAGACGCCCAGAAGATAGCGCCTTTCTGGGGACAGTTGAGAATTTAATAGTGCTTCCGCATTTCTAACTTTTATCCCTCCCCCCTCCCACGGACTGTTTTCCTCTATTCCACTTTTCCTCTTTCATAAGTATTTGATTGCAGGTTGGTATCCTGTATCCAAGCACAGCGCTTGGCATCGAGTAGGCGCTCAATTTTATTTGGTGAATATGAGTTGGAGGAATATTTGATGAATGAATGGAAGATGAATTAATCATCAGGGTCAGCAAGTGATGAACCACAACTTGGTCCAGTTCTTTAGTCCTCTAGTCTCCTGGTGAGACTCCACAGCTCCGCTAACACGACCGGGCCTTCGTGGGCCTGACAACAGACCTGACATCCCACGGGCGGGAGAGGCGTCAGCCCGAGGCTGGGATGCTCGGCCGGAACGGCGGCTGGCGGCAGGCTGGGCCCAGGGAGCTGCGCGCGCAACCACTCGGGCTGTGGCTCCGGTGACCGCTCTCCCTGGCAACGGTTTGTTCCTAGCAACCAGCCTGAGGTCTGGAGGTGGTGCGGAGGGAGCCGCCTAGGGACCAGGGACTCCTGCCATGAATCCGCCGGGGTCCCTAGAGGCCCTGGACCCGAACGTGGACGAGCACTTGTCCACCCAGATTCTCGCGCCCTCGGTCCACTCCGACAACTCTCAGGAGCGCATCCAGGCCCGGCGCCTCCGCATCGCTGCGCGCTTAGAAGCCCGGAGGCGGTGAGCGCGGGGGCGGGCGGGGCGGGATCCGCGCCGCAGGAGCCGGAGAAGGGCTGGTTTCCTGATGAAATAGAAACATTTCTTCGGGAAGGTTCAGGCAGAGTATGGGAAAGTAAAACGCTGGGCCGGTGCCGTGGCGCGCGCCTGTCATCCCAGCACTTAGGGAGGCCGAGGCGGGCCGATCACTGGAGCCCAGGAGTTGGAGATGGTCAACCTGGGCAGCATAGAGAGACCCCATCTCTATAAAACATCAAACAATTAATCGGGCGTGGTGGCGTTCGACTGTGGTCTGCACATGGCATCTTTTCCACTACGGACACCTCCAAACCACAGGGTCTGCTGGATCATGTGGCCCAAGTAGCCTGGCTGCTTACACTGTGGCCTGGGTCCTTTCTTGTTCCAGGCACCACTCAAAGCTGGCAGCTTTTTGTGTCAGCCTGAATAATATTCCTAAGTGCGGGATGTATTGTCTCTAGGACCCAAAGTGGCCTAAGAGGCATTGAGTTTCCTTCTCTGTAGAGGATGCAAAATGCAGTAGATTTGTTTTTTACTTGATAGGCTATCCCAGCATCCCACTGACCACTGGACCCCTACAAACTTGAATGACATGGCAGTCCCTGGGCCTTCATAGGGTTGATTGCCCACCGTCTGGAGCACACATGTCTTACCAAGCCCTGCAGTGTGTTTCCATCACTCGCTCACCCTGGCTGATTGCTGCGGGGCCATCAGTGGAATGCAGGGGCCGGCAAACCCTTTCAGTAAAGGGCCAAATAGTAAATATTTTAGGCTTTTCGGATCATATGGCCTCTTTCCTAGCTGCTCAATTGCCATTGTATTGCAAAAGCAGCCACAGGCAAGACATAAACAAATGGGCATGACTGTGTTCCAATAAAGCTTTATTTATGGACACTGAAATTTGAATTTCATATACTGTTCATGTATCACAAAATAGCCTTCTTTTGATAAAAAATAATAATAAACTTTATTTTTTAGAGCAGTTTTTAGGACCACAGCAAAACTGATCAAAAAGTATAGCATTCGCATATACTCCCTGCCCCCACACATGCACAGCTACTGTCAACATCCTGCACTGGAGGGCACATTTGTAACAATATATGAACCTTGGCGCATCGTTATCACTTGAACTCCATTGTTTACCTTAGGGTTTCTTTTTGGTGTTGTACATCCTATGGGTTTGGATAAATTTATGGTGACACGAGCCCACCAGTATAGTATTATACCAAATATTTTTACTGCCCTAAAAATCCCCTGTGCTCTGCTTATTCATCCTAGTCTTTTTTTAACCATTTATTTATTAACCATTTAGAATTGTAAAAATCATTTAAAATTGTAAAAACCATTTAAAATTGTAAAAAATCGTAGCTCATGCCTGTAATCCCAGCACTTTGGGAGGCCAAGGCAGGAGGATCACCTGAGGTCAGGAGTTCAAGACCAGCCTGGCCAACATGGCGAAACCCTGTCTGTACTAAAAATACAAAAATTAGCCAGGTGTGGTGGCAGGCACCTGTAATCTCAGCTACTTGGGAGGCTGAGGCAGGAGAATTGCTCGAACCTGGGAGGCAGAGGTTGCAGTGAGCTGAGATAGCGCCACTGCACTCCAGCCTGGGTGACAAGCACAAAACTCCATCTCAAAAAAAAAAAAAAAAAAAATTGGGCCGGGCGCAGTGGCTCATGCCTGTAATCCCAAAACTTTGGGAGGCTGAGGCGGGCGGGATCACGAGGTCAGGAGTTTGAGACCAGCCTGACCGACATGGTGAAACCCTGTCTCTATTAAAAATACAAAAATTAGCCAGGCATGGTGGCGCGCGCCTGTAATCCCAGCTACTCAGGAGACTGAGGCAGGAGAATCGCTTGAACCCAGGAGGCGGAGGTTGCAGTGAGCTGAGATCGTGCCATTGCACTCCAGCCTGGGCGACAGAGCGAGACTCTGTCTCAAAAAAAAAAAATTGTAAAAATCATTATTTGCCTGGAAGCCATACAAAAACAGGTGGTGGACTGGATCTGTCCCACAGGCCATAGTTTGCCAGTGCTGAAGTAATGGATCATTGTGATGTTCTCTGGGATATCCAGATGTCCCTGATATATTCAGAATATATTATGACAGAGATCAGGAGAACTACCATGGTCCTGTGAGTGTGACCGACTTGTGAGTGTATATCATTGTCTGTTCCATGTAAATGTGAACTTCCTGATTATTTTTCCTGATTGAGGTAGAAAAGCATGCATTTGGCCCAATCAGTAGCCACACATACTGTGCCTGAGGCTGTACAAATTTGCTCTAGTGAAGCTTACCACACTTGCATAGATGCTGTGTTCAGGAGTGCTACCTGTGGAGCTTCTGGTAGTTGACAGTCACTTTCTAGGATCCAGTTTCTGCAGGTGCCAGACCCATGAATTAAAAGGAGATTCAATAGGGATCACCATTCCTGCATCGTTGAGATACTTCAGGGTGGCACTAATCCCCACCAACACCCCTGGGTGGCAATATTTTTTTTTGTGTACTGAGGTGCAGTTTCAGAGATGTCCTTTTGGCCTTCCCCACTATGGTAGCTCTATTTATAGGCCAAGGAGTGGAGTTTTTCAAACTTCTAAGTATGTAGGTCCCAATTATACTTTTGGCCATTAGAGACATGATTGCTGGCTGAGTCCACAGACTTGGCAGACCCTCTGTAAGTAGGACTTTGCCTCCCCTGTGTCCTCACTCTAAGTGGGTGGGAGCATGCTTTGGGTCTCTGGGTGTCAATGGTAACTCAGACCCTGTTCTAATCCTAAACATTTCTGGGTATCCTCTTTCCTTATTGTGCAGCCCTCCTGAGTAGATGACCCTAGGCCCCTTTGGGGAAGAACTGGGGGAATCATTACAATATATATTTGCCGTTGTGTTCCAGATCCTTCCTTGTGGGGACCCTGCTGCCTCTTCAGTCAATAGATTCTGGCTCTGAACACTGGCTTAGGTTCAGGAATTGGGCAAGGGAGCATGAATCTTTACCAGCGTGCACCCTTAGCCTATTTATCCTTTGCTGCTTTCTTTGGTGAGCACCTATGAGTTGTATTCTTGTTGGCTGCCCTTTCGTTTTGCACCAAATGATGCCATATTTTGTAAGCCATCTTTAAAACTCTCTGTGGATCAAGCCCTTGTCTGCTACTCTGACCTTGGCAGTTGTGCTGGGGATTCTATGATAAACAAGGCAAATATAATCTCTGTTCTCAGGAAGCTTATATTCTAATGAGGGAGATGGGAAAAAATAAAGTGCAACTAAACAAGTAAACAAATAACATAATTATACATTTTGAAAAGAATCCTAACGGAAACAAGCAATGAGCAAATATGAAGAATAATAGATGTGGCACCTGAAGGTAGGTGGTCAGTGAGGGTGAGAAAGAGCTGTCAATGTAAAGAGTTGTACTGGGCATTCAATTATATTAAGGAACTTTTTGGCTATGATAATGGTATGGTGGTCTTGTTTTTTTTTTTTAAAGGCTATATCTTTTTTTTTTTTTTTTTTTTTTTTGAGGCCGAGTCTCACTCTGTCTATGCAGGCAGGAATGCAGTGGCGCAGTCTTGGCTTACTGCAATCTCCACCTCCCAGGTTCAAGTGATTCTCCTGGCTCAGCCTCCCGAGTAACTGGGATTACAGGCAGCTGCCACCACACCCAGCTAATTTTTTATTTTTAGGAGAGACGGGGTTTCACCATGTTGGCCAGGCTAGTCTCGAACTCCTGGCCTCAGGCAATCCACCTGCCTCAGCCTCCCAAAGTGCTGGGATTACAGGCGTGAGCCACTGCGCCCTGCCTCTATTCTTTATTAGTGGTTGGGGCCGCGCATTGTGCGTAAGTGAGCTGGGACCATTCTGTACCATTTCAATGTGCTCTCAAAACAAATGCATGCAGCTGAGTCTGTGCGAGCCTGGAAGCTCCCTGAATTAACTTCTCTGTTAATTAAAGGAAAAGAGATTAAAATATGTTATATTGAAGCTTACATATATATTATTAATAGCCAACAGTAATTGCAGCAATGGATCAGAACTTAGATTGACAAGAGCTTTTTCAGAAAGGAATATTTTACTACTGACATTGTTTCGAATTGCTGGCACATGTGATAATAAAAAGCAGTTGTATTGTTTTTACTTTACCTATAGGCAGTGCACCCACCCCTCGGTTGCCTGTGATACCCACTGCTGTTGCTGCCTGGGCCTTCTTATGTCATGAGGTGTAATGTTAAGGTGAAAGTTAACAGAATCAAATGTCATATAAAGAGTACAGCCGGGCGTGGTGGCTCACGCCTATAATCCTAGCAGTTTGGGAGGCTGAGGTGGGTGGATCACTTGAGGCCAGGAGTTCGAGACCAGCCTGGCCAACATAGTGAAACCCCTGTCTCTACTAAAAAGACAAAAAATTAGCCTGGCTTGGTGGCACACTCCTGTAATCCCAGCTACTCAGGAGACTGAGGCATGAGAATTGCTTGAACACCGGGAGGTGGAGGTTACAGTGAGCCAAGATCGAGCCACTGTACTCCAGCCTGGATGACAGAACGAGACTCCTTCTCAAAAAAACCAAAAAGAATAGGAATAATGTGCTAATGGCCCTGATACTCCCAATCTCTGGTGTCTTAGTTTAGGTTTGACATTTCTGGGAGATGTCACTTTCCTTTTTTTTTTTTTTTTTTTTTTGAGACAGGGTCTCACTCTGTCACCCGGGTTGGAATGCAGTGGTGTGACCTTGGCTCACTGCAACTTCCACCAGCTAGACTCAAGTGATCCCCCCCACCCCAGCCTCTCGAGTAGCTGGGACCACAGGTGCACACCACCATACCCCGCTAATTTTTTGTATTTTTGGTAGAGATGGGGTTTCACCATGTTGCCCAGACTGGTCTTGAACTCCAGAGCTCAAGTGATCCTGCCACCTTAGCCTCGAAAAGTGCTGGGATTATAGGTGTGAGCCACCACACCCAGCCGGGAGATGTCACTTCTGGGTAAAGATGCGAGATGGAACACATACATCTACCTTAGATCTCTATCATTTTAACTCCATTAAAATGATATTTAAGGGGATTAAGTAAAAAAGACGCAAATCCACAAAGTCAAGATCAGGAGGACTCAACAGCAATGAAATTGTGGATGCTGGGAAGCACAAGATAGATGGTAAATGGGTGAGCAGATTCAAGAAGATGGAAAAATAAGCTGATAGTGAAGAAAGCTGAGAACCCCCTTGATTTACTCTGCACTAAATCCCCAAAGACTAGGAGACTGATGGCATATCATATTCATCCGTGAGGATTTAAAAAATCCTATGGCCCTTCCAATGGAGTGACAGGACCTCTGTGGCCGAGAGACCTCAAAGTTCTTAGCCCTTAGCAGTGACAGGAGACTGGACATGTCCACTTCCTGCTACCCCCGTCCCTTTACTAATTATTATGAGGTCTTATCAAAGGCTGACCTGAAGATGACAAAAGGCCAGAAGACTCCTTGGCTTACTTCGTCCGACCACCCGGCACCCTCCTCCTCATGTTTATGGTTCCAACCTGACAACAACCCTGGACCACAGAGACCTCTTCCTGGACGACTGCCAACTTCAGGCCAGTTTGGACCGGTTCCCTGAGACTGCACAGATCCTGGACTTGTGCCCTAAGCATCACCTTTTTGCATTTATGACCCAATTGTAGTACATTTAAATGTTAAATCTCCACCCCAAAGTGAACATGAGTAGCATATTGTTGTATGTTCCGTGCACATGTAAGCCTAATGCACGTGCGTAATGAGTTTTCTCCGTAAATATTCACAACCTTCTCCTATATCCTGTAGAATATGCGTTTCCTACCTCCTCACCTAGCAGAAATATCTGCCTTATTTTCTCCCCTTCAAAGCCTGCTTCTCAGTCTCAGTTGAAAGCTTGCTTCCTGCCTGCAGGTTGTGTCCTTTAGAAATAAAGTTCTCTTTTGATTTTGTGGATTCTGACTCTTTTTCAGTTGACATCTAGAAGTGGAGGTGACAAAGGGAACCAAAATAAGGACAACCGATTGGAAAATTAATAGGTAGATGCCTAGAACCTTTCTCTCTCTTTGCACAGAAGATTGGAGGTTTGGAGAAAGTCAAGCGGAGGATCTAGGGCTTGGGGGATGCTAGACAGAGGCGAGGCAAGGATACTTCATGGAAAATAAGGGGATTCAGGGAAAATATGCACAGTGGATGCCAGGACCTTCCAGCTCTCCTCTCACCAGTTCCTGGAATGGTGGCACTTCAGCCTTCATATTCCAGGCAGGAGGCTGGAGAAGTTTCTCTGTGGAATCCGACCAGCCCCAAAAGAAGGATTTAAAGACACTAATGTTGGTCTGGGCACAGTGGCTCATGCCTGTAATCCAGCACTTTGGGAGGCCAAGAGGGGTGGATAACCTGAGGTCTGGAGTTTGAGACCAGCCTGGCCAACATGGTAAAACCCCGTCTCTACTAAAAATATGAAAATTAGCGGCGTGGTGGTGCATGCCTGTAATCCCAGCTACTTGGGAGGCTGAGGCACGAGAATTGCTTGAACCTGGGAGGCGGAGGTTGCAGTGAGCCGAGATCGTGCCACTACACTCCAGCCTGGGTGACAGAGGGAGACTCTGTCTCAAAAATAAAATAAAATAAAATAAAAATAATAAAGACACTAACATCGGGTTTGCTCACAAAGCAGCCCGATTAAATCAGCCCACGCTGACATGCACAGTTGTTAAGCCACACCCTTGTACTCACAGCTCCCGTCAGCTTTAAAAAAAATTTATTTTTATTATTTATTTATTTATTTTTTAAGCAACAGAGTCTCACTCCATTGCCCAGGCTGGAGTGCAGTGGTTTGATCATAGCTTAGTATAACCTTGAATCCTGGGCTCAAGCAGTCCTCCTGCCTCAGCCTCCTGAGTGTCTGGCACTACAGGTGCAGGCCACCATGCCCGGCTAATTTTTTTTTTTTTTTTAGAGATGGAGTCCTGCTATGTTGCCCAGGCTAGTCTTAAACTCCTGGGTCAAGTGGTCCTCCTGCCCTGGCCTCCCATAGTGCTGGGATTACAGGCATGAGCCACTGTGCTCAGCCCCATCAGCTTGTTTTTAATGTTTAAATTTTTATTTGTCACACTATTAAAATTTATTTTTTCTGCTTTATCCTGACACCATATTACAAGCTTCCAAATGGCTAGGGACTTAGATTGAAATGATACTAATTTGTCCTTATTTTCTCTAAATTCTTGGATTCTGTATAATCAGGTGTGTTTATGTACACATAACCAAAACAAACCATCCTTTATGTAGTTTTTTTTTAAAGGCAGCTGTTTCTTTAACAACAACTAGGTAGCTACTGTGAAGATGGTGACATGTAAAATTGGTAGTATTAGTATCCTTTTCCCAAGTTGTCATGGAAGTTACCATTATACTTATAGCTTTAGGTCTTTGGTACATCTCAGACAAGATAGGCAAGAATTTGGAGAACATTTTGAAAATAAGAGCAATAGACACATTCAGCAACAACTAGAATAATGGAACTCAAAGTTCTAAAATTACATGATATAAGTGAAAACAGCTTTAAAAGCTACCTCATAAGAGTTGTTTTATCATTAGCTTGATTTTTTCCACGTAAAACAGTGTTTATTTATTTTTAACCCATGTTTTAATTTTTTCATAGGCTTTTTAGTTCTTGTCATGAGTCAGTAACTGAGGATTTCTAGGCATCTGAGGAAAGTCTTTAACATGAATGGTAGATATGAAAATTAACAAAGAGAAAAAAGCACCTAAGAGGACATTAAGACTATATGTGGGGAGAAAAAAACAAGAATACCACAAAAAGATGATCATTCAGATCCTCAGAGAGAGTTTTGAAGTCTTTGGGGGAAAAAGAGGGAAAAAAAAGATCCTCAAAGAAAAAAGAGATGATATGGCAACCACGAAACAAGAATAGAATGCTACTAAAAGGAGTGTTCAGAGAAAAAAAATAGAGCTCTTAGAAATAAAAAAATTATAGAAATAGAAAACATTAGAAGGGTTGGAAAATAAAGATGATGAAATCACCTAGAAAATAGAGCGCAAAGAAAAAAGGTAGAAACTTATAGAGAAAATATTATTATTATTATTATTATTATTATTATTATTATTAATTTTGATACGGAGTTTCACTCTTGTTGCCCAGGCTGGAGTGCAATGGCATGATCTCGGCTCACTGCAACCTCTGCCTCCTGGGTTCAAGCAATTCTCCTGCCTTGGCCTCCCAAATAGCTGGGATTACAGACACCTGCCACTATGCCCGGCTAATTTTTGTATTTTTAGTAGAGACAGGGTTTCACCATGTTGGCCAGGCTGGTCTCGAACTCTTTACCTCAGGTGATCCACCCGCCTTGGCCTCCCAAAGTGCTGGGATTACAGGCATGAGCCACTGCACCCAGCCAGAGAAAAATATTTTTTTTTAATTAGAAGATATTATCACTTTTCTAGATCCAGAAAGAATGGAGCAGGGAGCATATTATCATGGAAAGAATTCAAGAACATGTCTCAGACCTGAAGATCATGAGGTTCCTGATTGAAATGTCTAGCACAATGGATGAAAATAGACCCACCCTAAGGCACACCATTGAGAAAGTTCAGAACACTGAGAATAAAGAGAAAGGGCCTACGAGCTTCCAGAGTGAAACAAAACAAAACACAACAAAACAAAACAAAACAAAAACATGGTCACATATAAAAAACAAAAATATGGTCACATACAAAGAAAGGCATAAAGACAGAATGACTTCAGGTTTCTCAGTTAGCAACACTGGAAGGAAGCAGTGAAGGAAAGTTATTTCCAACCTAGAACTCTAAACCCAGGTAGACAATCAACCAAGTTCCAATTTTTTTAAATCCTGAGAATTGGTCAGGAAGTAGAGTATTCAAGATGGCAGCTCCCATTTAGACCACAAACATGGGGCGGTGGTGAGGAAACAGCTTCCCAAAAGAGGACTCAGCCCCCAGGAGGGAGGGAGCTCAAATCTGAATAGACAGAAGTCTGAAACAGTTGCTTTGGAGAACATACTAGTTCTACACTGCTGAACAACAGAAATACAGTATCAGCCACATATGTCATTTCAAGTTTTCTAGTAGCCACATTGAAAGTGGTAAAAACAGAACAGGTGAAATTAATAATTTATTTAACCCAATATATAAAAGTATTATTTTAATATGCAATCAGTGTAAATCATACTGATGAGATATATTGCAAATATTTTTTGTTCAAAGTCTTCAAAATCCATCTAGAGTGTATTTTACACTCATAGCGCATTTCAATTTGCACCAGGCACATTTCAAGTGCTTTATAGCCACATGTGGTTATTGGCTACCATATTGGACAGTACAGTGCTAAGCAGTAAAAAATGATGCATAAAAGACAATGATGAGATTTAAGTTAATAGTAGTTAATAAGAATTTATAGCATATCTGCAGACTGGCCAACATGGTGAAACCCCATCTTTACTAGAAATACAAAAGTTAGCTGGGTGTGGTGGTGCGTGTTTGTCGTCCCAGCTACTCGGGAGACTGAGTCAGCAGAATTACTTGAACCTGGGTGGCGGAGGTTGCAGTGAGCCGAGATGGCTCCACTGCACTGCAGCCTGGGGACAGAGCAAGACTCTGTCTTAAAAAAAAAAAAAATTATAGCATATCTGGACTGCATGGTTTTTTTGTTGTTGTTGTTGTTTGTTTGTTTCTGAAGCACTGATCTTTGATCCAGAAAGCACTTGGAAGGGATTATTTAAATAGAGTTGGTCATTAATTGGTGGTCAAAGTAGAAAGTCAAGGGAATTTTTTGAGTGGTGATGGGAACATGATAAGCCTGGCAATAGCTGAAGACCTGAGTAAAATGGAACAATTAGTTTACTTGGTAAGAAAACAAAGAGCATGTTCAATAAGAATAGGGAAGCCAATGAAATGACAAGAAAAAAACAAGGGGTTTTGGTTAGATTGGGAGTGGAGGATGGTAACTCAATTCTGTATCTCCAAAATAGTGTTACACTAGGTAGGATTGTCCTGGACTTTGAACAAAGGGAGTAGAGATGGAAGTCAGAGTTAGAAAAAGTCAAGAAAGAATGAGATAAAGAGATCTGCTAGGCTGAGGCGGGAGAATTGCTGGAACCCAGGAGGCAGAGGTTGCAGTGAGCCGAGATCGCGCCATTGCACTCCAGCCTGGGCAACAAGAGCGAAACTCCGTCTCAAAAAACGAAATGAAACCAAACAAAAAAACAAACCTGCTGTGTCATGTTGAGGTTTCATTTTTCCTAAGGCAGTACTGGTAGCCCTTATGGACACTGTGTGCCAGAGGAGAGAGCAGGGTCTTGATGATGTAAGTGGCGTGGGGGTTGGTGAGGTCACTCCCCCATGCCTCCCCTGAAGAAGTCTATAATCTGGAACTTTATCTCGCCACCGCCCCTTTAGTCTCATTTTCTGATTCACACACACAGACAAGCACACACACATGCACTATTTAGAAAATTCATGCAATACAAAAATGTAGAAAATAGAACTTCTCAGTAATTTAATTCCTGTTCTTTAAGTAATTGCTGTTATTCGTTTGTCATATATACTTCCAGAAAATGTCCTGTGCACATATAAGCCTGTTTTTTGTTTTTGTTTTTGTTTTTCAGACAGAGTCTCGCTCTCCCGCCCAGGCTGGAGTGCAGTGGCGCTATCTCGGCTCGGCTCACTGCAAGCTCCGCCTCCCGGGTTCACGCCATTCTCCTGCCTCAGCCTCCCAAGTAGCTGGGACTACAGGCGCCCACCACCACGCCCGGCTAATTTTTTGTATTTTTAGTAGAGACGGGGTTTCACCGTGTTAGCCAGGGTAGTCTCGATCTCCTGACCTCGCGATCCACCCGCCTCGGCCTCCCAAAGTGCTGGGATTACAAGCGTGAGCCATCGCGCCCAGCCAAGCCTGTTTTAAAAAGAAAATGTGTATTATAGTCTACATATTTTTCTAAAACTGGCTCCCTTTACTTAACTGCTGTGGACATCTTTCCCTGCTGTTAGGTATTACATCATTCTTTTTGTAGGCTACAAAGTATTTCTGAAATATTGTTTTCTCTTAATTAGTCAGCTACTAATATGTATGTAGAATGTTTCCATGGTCTTACGAGTATTGTCAGTGCTACAATCATCTTTCTCGTGCATATTTATTTATGTACTTGTAAAGGCTTTCTGTAAAAAATTCCTAAAGAAAGGATTGTTGGGTCAGAGGGAAGGCACATTTAAGCTTTTGACAAATCTTGCCGAATTGCCTTTTAGACACGTTGTTATACTTTACATTCCCACCCATGGAATGTGGAAAGCTGGGCTCCCACCTGATACTGTCAACCCTTAAAATCTTTTTTAGTCTCATAATAGAGTAATGACACCTCACAGGGTTTTGGTTTCTCTGATTATATGTGAAGCTGACCATATTTTCAAATGCCTATTTGCCATTTGTATTTCTTTGGGAAACTGCCTGTTCATATCCTCTGCCAGTTTTTCTCTTTGGTATTTTGTCTTTTGTTTATTGATTTGAAGGAGCCCTTCCTATTTTATGGATAGTAAAATTTTGTCAAATATCTTTTATCAGTTTATCCCTTGACTTTCAAGGATAAAATTTCTAAATTTTAGAAAGTAAAATCTTTTAATCTTTTTATTTTCTGACTTTGGTCTTATTCAAAGATGGGTTTTCTATGCTAAGATTATATAGATATTCTCCTGTATTTACTTCTAGTGTTTTTATGATTGCAGTTTTTTTAATATTTAAGTTTTTTAAATGATAGAGATAGTGTCTCTCTATGTTGCCCAGGCTGGTCTCAAACTCCTGATTTAAAGCAGTCCTTCTGCCTTGGCCTCCCAAAGCGCTGGGATTAACAGGTGTGAGCCACTGCACCTGGCCAATATTTAAATTTTAATCCATATGGAATATATATTTATATATGAAGTACAATGGAACCATTATTATTATTATTATTATTATTATTATTGTTTTACATAAATAGAGATGGGGGTCTTGCTATTTTGGCCATGCTGATCTTGAACTCCTGGCCTTAAGCAATCCTCCTGTCTTGGTCTCCCAAACTGTTGGGATTACAGGCATGAGCTACTGTGCCAGGCCAAAACCTTTAAATATAGAATTTACGTATTAGAAATAACTTCATTTTCTCTGCTTTTTTCCATCACAGGGAAGCACTTGGAGAATATTTAGATGGGAAGAAGGAGAGTGAGGAGGATCAAAGCAAGAGCTACAAACAGAAAGAAGAAAGCCGATTGGTATGAACTGGTTGGCAGATGGGCTCTGGAAGACCAGTGAGCTGGGTGTGACATCATGGTTTTCACATTTAGACTGGAAGAAATCATGTGGTCCATGTTGCTGTCTCTAGGCAGAACTGAATAGAATCTTTCCCATTTGAGAGCTCTCTAGGAGTGAGCTTTCAGATGACAGTTTCTTATATTTACGCTGTCTCTTCTCTGCTCATGCACTTTTAATGGTATTCACTCTTCATAGGATAAAGTCCAGATGTTTTAGCTTGGGCGCTCAAGGCCTTTGGTAGTCTGTTCCCATCTTCACTTTCCAAACATATCTCCTGTTTGTTACCTAATTTGGGCCTTCCACTTTGGTGAGGCGGATCCACTCACTCCCCTCCAGTGGGGTTTTGTTCATTTCTGCTCTGTGCCTTTGATCATCTGGAATGCCAGGCCCCCTCTATTCTCCTCTTCTTCTCTCCTCTCATCTGGCCACTTTCCCATTTTCAACAACCATCTCAAGACCCAAATCCTCCTCGGATTCTTCCTCAGCCCAGCCTGAGCTCCCTTTCTCCACACATTGAATACTTCCTGTCTGTGCTATTCTTTTCATTTTAGATAGCTTTCTGCTGCATATGACTTTTCAGATGTGTGTGCCTGCAGTGCCCCAGTGAAACTGTATGTACTGTGAGAATGAGAGCCTCTTTTTGTAGCCGTGGGGTAGTGCGTAGCTTGTACTCAGTAGACACAAAAAAGAAAATCATTGATTACCCTCCATGGCGATGAAACAGCCCCTGGGATGCTGAGGGATAAACAGCAGCTCAAAACAGCAGACCAGAACTGGCAAAATGCTGCATTTAATCAATGTTAAGTGAAAGGCAAAAATGGTGATACCGTGTGAACTCAGATATGGAGAGGAACTCACCAAGCTGGCCTGGTCAGGGAAAGTTCGATGGAGAAAGTGGGATTTGAGTTGTCTTAGAAATATAGGTGGGAATTTTAAGAGCAGAGGAGAGATCATTTCTGGTGAGAAAAAATATTCACGTTGCTGAATATGATTATAGAGCATAGAGGTATAGAGAGATCACTGAATATCTCACACTGTGTTAGGGATAAGATATTTTACTGTGGAAAGGATACTGGACTGATGTGGGTTTTTGTTCCTGATCTCTTACCTACTGCAGAGTAGATGATTCATGTCACTTTTTTGTACTTCGTTCTCTTCATTTAAAAGTCAGTGAGCTCAGCCGGGCGCGGTGGCTCACGTCTATGATCCCAGGACTTTGGGAGGCCGAGGCGAGCGGATCACCTGAGGTCAGGAGTTCAAGACCAGCCTGGCCAACATGGTGAAACCTCGTCTCTACTAAAAATACAGAAGTTGGCTGGGCCTGGTGGCACACGCCTGGGGTCCCCCCTACTTAGGAGGCTGAGGCAGGAGGATTCCTTGAACCCACGAGGTGGAGGTTGCAGTGATCTGAGATCAGGCCACTGCACTCTAGCCTGGGTGACAGAGGGAGACTCTTTCTCTTTCAAAAAAAAAAAAAAAAAAAAAGTCAGTGATCTCTGAGCATTTCTGTGTAGGACAAAAGGATATTAGATTTTTTAAAATGCTGATATACAGTTCACCCCGAGCACTCCTTAGTTAGGTATAAAACCAAAGAGATAATATTGTTTTCATTAGCAGGTTTTGAAGGTTCCTTTCACTTAGGAATTAAGTAGTGAAGAGCCTTGGCATCAAGGAGAAATGTACACAAAAATGCTCCCTTCCTCAAGATTAAGGCATTGATTATTAGTTCTGACCTAAGATCTGGGCAGGCTGGTCCCCACCCTTGACCCTGCAGTTTTTCATTTTTTTTCTTTTTTGAGACGGAGTCTTGCTCTGTCACCAGGCTGGAGTGCAGTGGTGCAATATTTTTAGTAGAGACAGGGTTTTCCCCATGTTGGCCAGGATGGTCTTGATCTCTTGACCCAGTGATCTGCCTGCCTCAGCCTCCCAAAGTGCTGGGATTACAAGCGTGAGCCACCGTGCCCGGCCTTACCATGTTTTTAGTGGTCATTATTTTTGTGTCCTGTTTAACCTTTGTCTACTTCATATTTATGAAGATAGTCTTCTATCGTTTCTTCTAGAAGCTTTATAATTCTATCATTTACATTTTGGCCTATGACCTATCTGGAATTGATTTCTGTCTGTCGTGTAAGGGTAGGGTTCCAGGTTCATTGTTTTCTATGTAGATTTTTAGTTGACCCAGCACCGTTTACTGAAAAGATCATCCTTTCCCCACTGCATTGTTGTGCACCTTTGTTGTGAATCAGGTGACCATGTATGTGTGAGTTCGTTTCTACATTCTCCATTCTCTTTTTTGGTATCTATATGTCTGTCTGTATTAGTTCATTCTCACATTGCTATAAAGAAATACTTGAGACTGGATAATTTATAAGGAGGTTTAATTGGCTCATGGTTCTGCAGGCTGTACAAGAAGCATAGTGACTTCTGCTTCTGAGGAGGCCTCAGGAAGCTTCTAATCATGGCAGAAGGCAAAGGGGAAGCAGGCATCTCACATGGCAGGAGCAGGAGTGAGAGAGAGAGTGCAAGGAGGTGCCACACACTTTACAACAGCCAGATCTCACGAGAACTCACTCACTATCATGAGAACACCACCAAGAGGATGGTGCTAAACTATGAGGAATCCACCCCCATGATCCAATCATTTCCCACCAGGCTCCACCTCCAACTCTGGGGATTAAAATTCAACATAAGATTTGGGCAGGGACAAAAGATCGAAACTATATCCAAACTATATCACCAGCTCTGTGCCAATTCCACTCAGTTTTAATTACTGTAGCTTTATGACAGTTCTTGATGTCTGGTAAGGTAAGTTCTCTAACTGTGTTCTTCCGGATTGTCTTGGCTACTTGGCTATTCTTTTTTTTTTTTTTTTCTTCCGAAACAGCCTCGTTCTGTCATCCAGGCTGGGGTGCAGTGGCACAATCTTGGCTCACTGCAACCGCCGCCTCCTGGGTTCAAGTCATTCTCATGCCTCAGCCTTCTGAGTAGCTGAGATTACAGGCATGTGCCACCATACCTAGCTAATTTTTGTATTCTTACCGGAGACGGGATTTCACCATGTTGGCCAGGCTGGTCTCCAACTCTTGGCCTCAGGTAATCCTCCTGCCTCAGCTTCCCAAAGTGCTGGGATTACAGGCATGAGCCACTGCGCCCAGCCTTGTCTTGGCTATTCTTGACATATACATTTTAGAATCAGCTTGTCAATTTCTACCTAAAAACCTGCTGGAATTTCAATTGATTGAATAGAATTTATAATCCATGGGAGGTATTCTTTAATTTGGCTCAGCAATGTTTTGTACTTTTTGTTCAGGTTATAATGGTTCGTGGTGGTATATAAATGTACAGTTGATTTTAATACATTGACTTGGTATCTGGTGACCTTGCCAAATTCACTTGTTAATTCTAATAGTTACCTGTGGCTTCTTTTGAATATTTTTTTACGTCTATAATCATATCATCTGAAAATAATGAGTTTTATTTCTTCCTGTCTAATTTTATATCTTCTATTTTTTTCTTCCCTTATTGCATTAGTTGGATGCTCCAGCTCATTTAATGAGCTCCAGCTCATTAAAAAATTGGTGACGATGGGGGTCCAGGTTCTGCTCTGGATTTCCTGCGGATACATCCCCTCAAGTAGACTTGTCCCATGTCCCTTCAAACCCCCATTGTCCCCTCTAGATTACTGAGTCCGATGGGAGCCAAAATTCCCCGTCCAAATGACTTTGAGCCCACCTTCAACCTATATGTGCCTCTTCCCGGAGTCTGTCCTGCTCAGGGCAGATGAGGCCAATGTTATGCAACCCCTGGGGCTAACAGATGGCCACAGGGTATAGATGGAGCTTGGATGTGCAGTTGGGGAAATCCGCATGCCTGCAGGACAGAGCTGGGGGTGGGCTGGGAGCTGTGGCCAGAGGCAGGCTCTTCCTTAGCCACCCAGTTATCAGTAGAACTCTGAGGTGTGTCTGAATTCAAACTAGGACTTTTAAATTGTCATAAAGGTATTGTGATAGGAGGATATATATAAAATATAGTTTAAATATATATTATATATTAATAATATACAATATATTATAAATTATATATAATTTATATATAATATATATTATATATAAATTATATATAATTTATATAATATATAAATTATATATAATATAAATTATATATAATTTATATAATATATAAATTATATATTATATAAATTAAATATAATTTATATTATATATAAATTATATTTAATTTATATAATATATAAATTATATTTAATTTATATATAATATAAATTATATTTTTATATATTATGTATAATTTATATATTTATACATATATACATTATAATATATTGTATAGTATATATAATATATAGTATATATAAAGCATATTATATATTATATATACAACATTATATATTATATATATTATATTATATATATATTTTGAGACAGAGTCTCACTCTGTCACCTAGGCTGGAGTACAGTTGCATGATCTCAGCTCACTGCAACCTCCACCTCCTGGGTTCACGCGATTCCCCTGCCTCAGCCTCCCAAGTAGCTGGGACTATAGGTGTGCACCACCATGCCTGGCTAAGTTTTATATTTTTAGTAGAGACGGGGTTTCACCATGTTGTTCAGGCTGGTCTTGAACTCCTGGCCTCAGGTGAACCGCCCGTGTTGGCCTCCCAAATTGCTGGGATTACAGGTGTGAGCCACCATGCCCGGCTGAATGTTTTATTTAACAATTTTTACATGATACTATAATTTAAAAATATTTAGACATATGGTATGTGGACCTCCATTTAAATGCTTTCCCTGGATCTCATAAAGGTGAGGGGCATTTTGGTCTGTTGGTGGCTGACATTTGGATTTTTAATTTTACTTTGAGTCTTAAATACTTGATTCAGAAATTTCTGGAACTCCAGTAATTGGTTAGCACATGGTACTTATACAGAACTCTCTGATGTTCACATTGAGTAGAAACTAGAAAATAACCCCAAACTGCAGGAAAGCCATTACTTCCTTATGCACGTAAAACCATTTTGTACAAGTGATAAAACTGCAGGCATTAACAAAAAATCTAGAGTGCCCTGGATATCTGGGTTAAAGCTCTGTTCTGTATTCAATGAAACTACATTTCAAATTTTTCATATAATAGTGAGATCAAGTGAAGTCTCTGGTCATTTCTGTGACTCCTTGGTGTAGAAGTTTTATAGGTTCCTAGTTTAAAAATTATTTGAGAGTTGGAGAGTTCATAAGTTCCAAAAAGACTTGAAAAAACTTAGGCATAACCTAAGGATACTCGAACTTTTTGTTGAGAGGATTTATCATCTTGAATAACATCACAACAAGGCTAGGAGTGAAGATACTGGAGATGGAATTTACGAAGAGGGATTTAGAAGGATGGCACCAATTACAAAATCCCTGAGCCCATTAAGGAGACAGCAGTGCAGCCAGCTACAATCTTTTCCTGCCTTAGAATCCATGTAATGAAAGACTCCACATATCATTAGCTGCAGCAGGACAGAAGCTTGTTTCTCTGTCTCAACAGTTCCGAGTATAAGTAGTCCAGGGCTCACATGGATGGGGTCTGCTTGATGATGGGACCTCAGCTCCCTCTGCCATTGCTTGAGTTGCCTTTATCTGCTCATCACCTTTTACTTGAGCCCCACATGCCAGCCTGGGAGAAGGGGCAGAAGTGGGGCAGCAGAGGGTACACCTTTTCCCCTTAAAGTCACAATTCAGAAGTGGCACACATTACTTCTCCTGTGTCACTGATCAGATAGTATTCTAGGTGCAAGGGAGGCTGGGAAAGGTACCTATTTTGGGAAGCCACATCCCAGCAAAAATTTGAGTGTTCTGTTACTAAAAGGAGAGGGAGAAATGGACATGGGAGCACAGCTGTCATTACCTGCCTCACTGTCATTATCTGCCTCACTGTCATTATCTGCCTCACTGTCATTACCTGCCTCACCTCCCCAACTGAGGTTCTTCGAAAGGCTCCCGGCAGTGTCAGTCACTTGGAGATCTGCTGGGGACAAGGCTGAGATGAATGTACAATATCTGCTGGTATAAAAGTTGGCTGGTGCCTTCTCTACAGTGAATAAATAAAGTACATTGAGAACTGCAGAGTGCTTTTTTTAAAATTTTTTATTTTGCCCAGGATTGGACAAAAACTTACCACAGTAGGATACTAATGATGCCCTTCTAGCCAAACGCAGTGGCTTTTCTCCAGGCCTCATCATATTATGACTGGATACTGGACTTTTCTTTCTCTTTTTCTTTTTTCTTTCTTTTTCTTCTTCTTTTTTTTTTTTTCTGAGATAGGGTCTCACTTTGTTGCTCAGGCTGGAGTGTAGCGGCGTGACCTTGGCTCACTGTAACTTCTGCCTCCCAGGTTCAAATGATTCTCCTGCCTCAGCCTGCTGAGTAGCTGGGATTACAGGCACCCGCCACCATGCCTGGCTAATTTTTGAATTTTTAGTAGAGATGGGGTTTCACCATGTTGGCCAAGCTGGTCTCGAACTCCTGACCTCAAATGCTCCACCCACCTTGGCCTCCCAAAGTGCTGGGACTACAGGCATGAGCCACTGTGCCTGGCCAAGAACTGCAGAGTGCTTTTAAATTGTGAGCTGTAAAATCACATCACAAATGTCCTGATAGAAAAGGGTTGCTACACAGAGGCTACTCTTAAAAATCTTAAGGTAGTTGCTGCTTCCTGCTTGAATGGATAGAAGCTGCGGACAGTTGTGCAAAAATGTTTCAGACTTTATATATTATTTACAAAGTGTTCTAGCTTTGTAAATTCTTATATCTCTCTTTTTAGAAATTGGCTAAACTTCTGCTCTGTGGCACCGAGTTGGTGACAAATATCCAGGTGGCTATAGATATCAGAGAGATTCACAGGAGAGTCGAAGAAGAGGAGATAAAGCGTCAAAGGTAAGGACTGTGCTACTCTGCAGCTGGTGGACATGAAGGTAATCTCCATGGGTCCGGCAGTTCTCCCGAATTGTTGGAGGGTGACTTTGTCCACCTTAGACAATTCCCTTCCTGCCCTTATAACTTCTCCCTCCCTCCCTCCTCTTCTTTCTCTCTCTTTTTTTTTTTTTTTTTTTTGAGACAGAGTTTCGCTCTTGTTGCCCAGGCTGGAGTGCAATGACGTGATCTCGGCTCACCGCAACCTCCACCTCCCAGGTTCAAGTGATTCTCCTGCCTCAGCCTCCTGAGTAGCTGGGATTACAGGCATGCGCCACCAAGCCAGGCTAATTTTGTATTTTTAGTAGAGACGGGGTTTCACCATGTTGGCCAGGCTGGTCTCGAACTACTGACCTCACGTGATCCACCCGCCTTGGCCTCCCAAAGTGTTGGAATTACAGGCGTGAGCCACCGCGCCCGGCTATCTCATCTCTTTTCTTTCCTCCCCTCCTCAAGCACTACATTGCTGATACGTGCCAAGCTGTGTGTATACAAAAGGAGTGAAACACGGCCTCTGTTTGTGGTATTCACAGTCTAGTCAAGAGACACATGGAAACACCCATAATTCGTGGTAAAATAGATAATGTGTAAAGGGTTGTAGTAACACACACAAGGAGGCCTTTAATTCTATCTGCAGAGATTACAGAAAACTTCCCAGGCAAGGTGACGTTGAGCTGGGCTGTGAGGGATGAATAGGAATTTGAGGAATTGAAGAGTAGGCATTTTAGGCAGAGGGAACACTTGAGCAGAGGTGTGAGATCACATGATGTGCTTGGGAATGGCATGATAGCGAAGGATGTATGCGGGTAATGGAAGAAAAGAGAAGAGGCTAAGAAGGTCAACTGGGCAGTCCTGGGTTTCAATTGGTGAGAATGACCAGACCCACGAATACCTCAGTGTTATGTGTAAAGGTGGCAGCATTATTAAAGAATATTGAGGGCTCCATGCATAGAAGGATGGAGGTTCACAGGGATCACAAGAACCTGCGTCAAGTCCTCAGCTCCAGTCCTCAGGAGGCAGGCTGCCCTGCACGCCCATGTCCCAGGTCTCAGGCTGTCCAGCAGGGAGGCATAAGCGGCTTAGAAGAATTAAACTTCTTTGGTTTGCACACAGAAGTAGACTGATAGCAGGTCCTCATTTAAGCTTTGGATTGTTCTTCAATTAATTTCTTAAACAATTAGAAGAACAACCACTTGGCCAGGCACGGGGTGGCCCACGCATGTAATCCCAGCACTTTGGGAGGCCGAGGAAGGCGGATTGCTTGAGGTCAGGAGTTCAAGACCAGCTTGGCCAACATGGTGAAACTCCGTCTCTACTAAGAACACAAAAAATTAGCTGGGTGTGGTGGCGCGTGCACACCTGTAGTCCCAGTACTCAGGAGGCCGAGGCAGGAGGATCACTTGAGCCCAGGAGGTGGACGTTGTAGTGAGCCAAGAGTGTGCCACTGGACTCCAGCCTAGGCAATGGGAGTGAAACCTAGTCTTTAAAAAAAAAAAAAAAAAAGGCAACCACTTGACCATTTTGTCTCATCATATACACACAGGGGTCGATTTTAACAATATTTTTAGTTGTTCAGCATAAGCAGTTCCCTCTTTAGCAACTTTAGCAGCCCTACCAGTAAACGTGGGTGACTTTTATTCTCGAAACTTCCCACTGCCTGTATGGGCTGTGCCAGGAATGGAGTCGGCAGATTCCCAGCAGGGTCAGCTTGTGAAAGGCAGGGAAGGTCATGCAAGGAGTTAGGCCTTGTCCTCTAGCCACAGAGGAATGCTGAAGGTCCCAGGTGGCAGGTTACAAGGTCAGTGTGCTGCGGAAAGATGACCTGACAGCTCTTTCTCATTTCTTGAAATAAAAAAGTCAATTAAATTAAAAAAGTGTCCTAGCTTGGAAGGTGGGGTGGGTGGGGGATGGGACAGGAAGAGGGGATTGCAGGATGTTTAAGCTGTGACTTCGGTTCCTCAGGGGGTTTGTTTGGAGGTGCTCTCATAGGATTAGTCTGTTACAAGGAGCAGAGAGTCTCTGGCAGATATCTTAGCCACTGTTCCCAGAGGGGCCCCAGCTCAGCTCTCCTGCCTTCCTGCCACCTCGCCCCAGCCTCGGTGTGCTCTATCACGGAGGTTCTTTGGAATTTATGGAAAGGCTGTCCCTATTTTCCATCACTCATTGGTGGAGTTTCCATATTTGTACATTCCACTAGTCATTTATTGGTAACTTGGGAGAGGAGTAGCCAGACACTTGAGGTCATGTTGCTAATATAAAATTGATAATTTAAGCACCATGTGTTAAGTGACTCCCATGCTGAGCACCTGTGCTGTGTGCAGCATCTTATTTCATCCTGACAACAGCCAGCCACTTGAAGGTAGATACTTTTCATCCACGCCATTTTACAGAAGAGAAAAGTGAGGCTTGAGGGAGTTATGCAACTTGTCCGAAAGGTTGACAGTCAGTTAGGAGCCAAGTCAGGACTTGAACATAAGCTCTGTGACTCCAGAGACCCAGTGTTTAACTGTTGTGTGTTATCATCTTACTCAGAAGCAGGTGACCAATCGATCTTGGTGTGTGTGCGTGTGCACGCGTGTGTATGTGTGTGTGTGTGTAGCCTTAATGTTGATCTGTTTTTGCTATGTGTCATTTTCTTTACTTGGCCTAAGTTATTTACAGTCAAGCGTTAAACGAAAAGATTTCTCAGCATTGAGTTTGATTTTGGGCGGGTGTGTTTGGGCAGTGCCTAGTACCTGGGTCTTATATTCTAGAGATTCTAGAGAACGTACCTGCTCTACTGGAAGGCAGCATCTGGAGCTGGGTTGGCATGGCTGGCATGTATGTATTTGCAGGATTGAGAAGCTGGAGAATGAAGTTAAGACCAGCCAGGACAAATTCGATGAAATCACCTCAAAGTGGGAAGAGGGCAAGCAGAAGAGAATTCCCCAAGAGCTGTGGGAAATGCTCAATACCCAACAGCTGCACTGTGCTGGACTCTTAGAAGATAAGAATAAACTCATCAGCGAGTTACAGCAGGCAAGAGGCCCGGGCCCTCCAGCCCAGCCACAGGGGATCTGCCTGGGATTTAGCTGGGTTACTGGTTTGCTTTTCCTGAATGGAAAAATGTAGAAACCTTTTACTTCATTATTTAGAATGCTGTACAAGTCATGTTATAAACTTTTTTCCATGATGGTAAGAAACACATAGCATTAAATTTGCCATCATAACCATTTTAAAGTGTATAGTTCATGGGCTGGATGAGGTGGTTCACTCCCATAATCCCAGCATTCTGGGAGGCCGAGGCAGGCGGATAACTTGAGGTCAGGAGTTTGAGACCAGCCTGGCCAACATGGTGAAACCCCATCTCTACTAAAAATATAAAAATTAGCCGGGCATGGTGGCACATACCTGTAATCTCAGCTACTCAGGAGGCTGAGGCAGGAGGGTCGCCTTAACATGGGAGACAAAGGTTGCAGTGAGCCGAGATCGCACCACTGCACTCCAGCCTGGGTGACAGAGGGAGTGAGACTCTGTCTCAAAACAAAAACCAAAAAACTGTATAGTTCAGTCATGTTAAGTATACAGCATTCAGATGCAATAGATCTCTAAGAACTTTTTCATCTTGCAGCATGGAAATTCTATGCCCCTTAGACACCAATTCCCTCTTCCACTTCCCCCTAGACCTTGGTAATCACCTTTCTACTTTCTGTTTCTGTGATTTTGACTACTCTATTAGATACTTCCTGTGAGTGAAATCATACAGCATTTGTCCTTTTGTGACTAGCATATTTGGCTTAGTATAGATGGACTTCGTTGTAGCACGTGACAGGACTGCCTTCCTTTTTAAGGCTGCGTAGTATTTCATTGCATATATATACCACATCTTGTTTTATACATTCTCCTGTGAATGGACATTTGGGTTGGATTTCACGTTTTGGCTTTTGTGAGTAATGCTGCTATGAACATGGGTATACACGTATCTCTTTGAGATACTTCTTTGAATTATTTGGATGTATACTTAAAAGCAGGATGGCTGGGTCATATGGTAATTCTATTTTTAATTTTCTTAGGAACCTCCATACTGTTTTTTATAATGATTGCACCATTTTACATTCCCACCAACAGTACACAAGGGTTCTAACTTCTCTGTATTCTCACTAACACTTACATCCTGTTTTTTTGATAGCTTCCGTGTTGATGGTGTGAGGCGATATCTCATTATGGTTTGGATTTGCATTTCCGTAACGATTAGAGATGTTGTGCATGTTTTTCATGTGTTTATTGGTCACTTGTATATCATCTTTGGAGAAATGTCTATTTAAATCCTTTGCTTATTTTTAAATTGGGTTGTTTTTGAGTTATAGAAGTTCTTTATGTATTTTGGACATTAACCCCTTATCAGATATATGATTTTCAATTATGATTTCCTATTCCGTATATTGCCTTCTTAGTCTTGATTTTTTTTTTGATGTGCAAACATTTTTGAGTTTGGTGCAGCCCCGTTTGTCTATTTTTGATTTTGCTGCCTGGGATTTTGGTGTGATATCCAAGAAATTATGGCCAAATCCAATGTGCAGAAAGCTTGTCCTCTATATTTTCTTCTAGGAGTTTAATAGTTTTAGGTCTTTAATCGATTTTGAGTTATTTTTGTATATGGTATAAGGTAAGGACCCAACTTCATTCTTTTGCCTGTGAATATCCAGTTTTCTCAACATCATTTGTTGAAGAGACTATCCTTTCTCCACTGTATAGTCTTGTCAAAAGTCATTTGACCATAGATGCAGGGGTTTATGTATCATTCATTTATCATTTTGACCCTTGTCAAAGCCATTTGGTCATATATGTAGGGGTTTATTTCTGGGCTCTCTAGTTCCCTTGGTCTATATATCTATTTTTATGTCAGTACAACATTCTTTAATTCCTGTTGCTCTTTGCAGTTTTGTTTTTGTTTATTTTTTTTTTTTTTGAGACTGAGTCTTGCTCTGTCGCCCAGGCTGGAGTGCAGTGGTTTGATCTCGGCTCACTGCAACCTCCGTCTCTAGGGTTAGAGCAATTCTTCTGCCTCAGCCTCCCGAGAAGCTGAGACTACAGGCATGCACCACCATGCCTGGCTAATTTTTGCATTTTTAGTAGAGATGGAGTTTCACAATTTTGGCCAGGCTAGTCTCGAACTCCTGACCTCAGGTGACCCACCTACCTCAGCCTCCCAAAATGCTGGGATTACAGATAGGAGCCACTGCGCCCAGCCTGTAGTATGTTTTGAAACCAGGAAATGTGGGGCCTCCAACTTTGTTCTTTTCTCAAGACTATTTTGGCAATTTGGAGTCTCTTGAGATTCTGAATTTTACAAATTTTAGGATGGTTTTCCTATTTCCACAAAAAATGATGTTGGGATTTTGTTAAGGACTGCACTGAATCTATAGATCACTTTGTATAGTATGGACATTTTTAACAATATTGAGTCATCCAGTTCATAAGCACAGGATATCTTCCATTTGTTTATATCTTCTCTGATTTCTTTTAGTAATGTTTTACAGTTTTCAGTGTACAAGGCTTTTGCCTACTTTGTTAAGTTTATTCCTAAGTATTTCATTCTTTTTGGTGCTATAGTAAATGGATTATTTTCTTAATTTCTATTTTGGATTGGTCATTATTTGCATATAAGAATGCAACTGATTTAAAATTTTTTAAACATTTAATTTAATTTAATTTTTTTGAGACAGAGTCTCGCTCTGTCACCCAGGCTGGAGTGCAGTAGACTGATCTTGGCTCACTGCAACCTCCACCTCCTGGGCTCAAGTGATCCTCCTGCCTCAGCCTCCCAAGTAGCTGGGATTAAAGCGCACATCACCATGCCCAGCTAATTTTTGTGTTTTTAGTAGAGATGGGATTTCACCACGTTGCCAAGTCTGGTCTCAAACTCCTGACCTCAAATTACCCACCCACCTCCACCTTCCAAAGTGTTGGGATTACAGTTGTGAGCCACCGCACCTGAGCTTTTTTTTTAAATTTAAAATTAAAAAATTTTATGGGTAGGTGTATATATTTATGGGGTATATAAGATATTTTGATACAGCCATACAATGTGTGATAATCACATTGGGGTAAATGGGGTATCCATCACTTCAAGCATGTATCATTTCTTTGTGTTGCAAACATTCCAGTTATACTCTTTTAGTTATTTTAAAATGTACAATAAATCTAGCTGACCTTAGTCACGCTGTTATGCTGTCAAATACTAGATCTTATTCATTCTAACTATATTTTTGTGCCTATTAACCATCCCCATTCCTCCCTGACCCTCCACACTACCCTTCTCAGTCTCTGCTAACTATCATTCTACTTTCTATCTCCACGAGTTCAATTGTTTTAATTTTTAGCTCCCACAAATGAGTGAGAACATGCAAAGTTTGAATTTTTGTGCCTGGCTTATTTCATTTAACGTAATGCCTTTCAATTCCATCCACGTCGTTGCAAATGACAGGATCTCATTCTCTTTTATGGCTGAATAGTACTCCCTTGTGTATAGGTACCACATTTGCTTTATCCATTCATCTGCTGATGGACACTTAGGTTGATTCCAATTCTTGGCTATTGTGAATAGTGTGATTTTTGAATTTTGATTTTGTGTCCTGCAACTTTGCTGAATTTAAGTTCTAACAGGTTTTCCTGTGTGTGAAATCTTTAGTTTTTCTGCATATAAGATCATGTCATCTGTGAACAAAGATAATTTTAACTCTTCCAATTTTGATGTCTTTTCAAGGGATAAACTTTTAACTAGAAGTAAAAGCTTTGTCATAATTGTAGAATTATTAGCTATCTAATAGAAATACAGTCATGCATCACTTAATGATGGGGATATATTCTGAGAAATGCATTGTTAGGTGATTTCATTGTTGTGAGAACATCATAACATGTGCTTACACAAACCTAGATGGTATAACCTACTACACACCTAGGGTATATGATATAACTAATTGCTCCTAGGCTACAAACCTGTCCGGAATGCTACTGTACTGAATACTGTAAGCAGTTGTAACGCAGTGCTAAGTATTTGTGTATCTAAACAGAAAAGGCACAGTAAAAATACCATATTATGGCCGGGCACGGTGGCTCACGCCTGTAATCCCAGCACTTTGGGAGGCCGAGGCAGGTGGATCACGAGGTCAGGATATCGAGACCATCCTGGCTAACACGGTGAAACCCTGTCTCTACTAAAAATACAAAAAATTAGCCAGGCATAGTGATGGGCGCCTGTAGTCCCAGCTACCCGGGAGGCTGGGGCAGGAAAATGGCGTGAACCCGGGAGGTGGAGCTTGCAGTGGGCCGAGATCGAGCCACTACACTCCAGCCTGGGCAACAGAGCAAGACTCTGTCTCAAAAAAAAAAAATACCGTATTATAATCCTATGGGACCACTGTCGTATATGTGGTCCATCATGGACTGAAATGTTGCTATGCAGCACATGACCGTAGTATTTTTACAGCAAATGCTGTTCCAGAGTTTAGTCCTTAGTTAAGGAATGCAACTTAGTCTGCAGTAGATATGTTCTCGTGTTGGAACCTGGACATTAATTGCTCAGCTAGGACACTCTAGGCTTTCTGGGAGCTTGCAGGGAGATTTGCAGCAGGTGATAACATTGAGGGGTTTGGTCCTGGGTGCTTGTTAAGAGCTTTGCCCTGAGCAGAGTCCATTCCACTCCATCTACTATGCTTTATCTCAGGCCTTCTAAGACTCTTCTGAAACCACTTTCTCTTTGTACAGATGATTATTATTATTATTATTATTATTATTATTATTATTATTATTATTATTGAGACAGGATCTTGCTCCATCTCCCAGGCTGGTGTGCAGTGGTGCAATCATGGCTCACTGTAGCCTTGACCTTCTGGGCTCAAGCGATCCTCCCACCTCAGCCTCCCAAGTAGCTGGGACCACAGGCGTGCACCACCACATCTGGCTAATTTTTATATTTTTTTGTAGAGACAGAGTTTTGCCATACTACCCGGGCTGGTCTCCTGAGCTGAAGCACCTGCCTCAGCCTCCCAAAGTGCTGAGATTATAGGTGTGAGCCACTGTGCGCAGCCCTCTTTGTACAGTTTCATGTCCTAACATTGACAGATTCTGGTGAGAGGAGTCTAGAGAGAGTGTTTGGCACCTTCTGCTCCTGACACAGTTTGTGGCCAGACTTTTACATGCTCTTTTCTAGGAGTTAAAAACAAAGGATGACCAGTATGTGAAGGATTTGAAGAAACAGTCAGATGACATCTGCCTGCTTCTGGAGCGGATGGAAGAACAGGTGAAGAATGTGATGAAAACCTTTCGTGAGGAGCTCTATAACATTGAGGTAACAGGGTGTGAAAAGACCTGGTTTCTGCTCTTGGAGGGCCCCTGGGAGGAGGTCTAGGTCTGTCCTAATAATCTAAGGAGGGCCCTACATGACTTCTCTGTCCGCTGATTTCTGTTTCTGCTCTCAGGTTTTATTAATTTATTTACTCATTCATTCATATGACAAGTACATATCAAGTGTCTACTATATGCTGGGCACTGTTCCAGGGGCCTGGGGGTGCAGCTGTGAACAAAACAAAGTTCCTGGTGGAAACTGTATGCTAGTAGGAAGCAGCTAGACAATAAACAAGTTACTAAATATATTATTTTACAGGTGGTAATAAGTGTTTTGAAGGAAAATAAGACGAGCAAGAGGTTGGGGAATAAAAAAGGGGGATTAGCACTCCATAAGCATAAAGCCTGTGTGAGGCATTTACTTGTTTCTTTAAGGCAATTGGGGCAGACAGTGGCAAAGGGGAGTGCTGCATAGGATTCAGGAATCAGTATTTTGAATTTGAATGAAATGTTCAAGATTGAGATTGAGATTTAGCCCTTTCCAAGATGGAAGAGAGCCAAGAAGGTGGAGGCCTCTCTCTCTCTCGGTTGTTAGAGACTCATTTCTGCATTCCTAAACCTACCCCTTGTGAGTTTCATGCTGCCTTTGCTTCATGGGATCCCCAACCATGGCAACGAACGCATCAGTGGTAGTCACAGTTGAATTACACACCATGGCCTGCCGTGTGACTGCCAACAGGGGCACTGGCCTTCCTCCAGTTCCCTGCCTCTGATATTGACTAAGCCACGGGACTGTTGGCACATCTCCTCTCCGCATTTGGAGTATCGTCTTCATAATGCTAATTTCCATGCAGCTCCTTCCATAGCCATTTGGTCTTATGAAACTTGGCAGGTCTGAATTTGGATTTGACTTTTTCTATGTGGTTGGTGATATGGCACTTATAGTTACCTGAAAGTTCTTTGACACTGGTGGGACCTGCCCAATCAAAACAGATGCAAGAGTGTTTTTCCTTCTTGGTCGTAGAAAGCATTTGAGGTGGAACGCCAAGAGCTACTGGCCAGTAATAAGAAGAAATGGGAGCAAGCCCTTCAGGCTCATAATGCCAAAGAGGTAAAGGGTGGAGCCTGTCAAGAGTGATCCGTGGGGTCTGGGTGATTTTTATTGTGACTGAATTTGCTAGCTAGCCTTTTTCTATCTTTTTTTTTTTTTTTTTTTTGAGATGGAATCTTGCTTCTGTCACCAGGTTGGAATGCTGTGGAGCAATCTCGGCTCACTGCAACCTCTGACTGTCTGGTTCAAGTGATTCTCCTGCCTCAGCCTCCCGAATAGCTGGGATTACAGGCACACACCACCATGCTAATTTCTGTATTTTTAGTAGAGACGGGGTTTCACCATGTTGACCAGGATGGTCTCGATCTCCTGACCTCATGATCCTCTCGTCTCGGCCTTCCAAAGTGCTGGGATTACAGGCGTGAGCCTCCGCGCCCGGCCGCCTTTTTGTATCTTAAGTAGAATTGCTGTGGCTGAATGCTACTGCGTTCATTACTGCATTTCCTAGCTAATCCGTGTGGCCTTGCAGATGGGGATTGTCTCTTGGGTGGTGGTGAGTACCACCCGGGCAGCTTGCTGTGTTTTCCGTGGGCCCGTCACTTTCCCCTCTGTTTACTGGGTATCTCACCCAGCTGTGAATATTCATGGCCCAAGGTGTTTTAAGACACCTTTTTAAAGGGTGTGGGATTATCACTTTATTTCAGAGTTGTGAAGAACAAATAAGTGACTTGACCAAGATCCAATAGACTTTTTAGAAATATAAACATCTGATTTCAGGGTCTGTGCGTAATTTCTTTTCTTTTTTTTTTCAAATATTTAGACTTCAAGGAGATGAGCTTAATTTCATAATGGAGCATTCCTCTTAGAGTTTCTGGAGTAATGACCGCATTAGGCAATACAAGCCAAGTCCTAAAAGCCTTGGGTATTCAGGACTTCTGAAAGCCACCAGACTCCCTGTGGAGCCATGAAACTTCCAAACTCTCCCCTGTGTCATGCTGGGCAGGCCATCCGAAGGATTGAGGTGGGGCAAGGATGGTCCCTAACTTTTCCCTTGTCTTCCTGTGCCTTTAGCTGGAGTATCTTAACAACCGCATGAAGAAAGTAGAGGACTATGAGAAGCAGCTGAACAGGCAGAGGATCTGGGATTGCGAAGAATACAACATGATCAAGATCAAGCTGGAGCAGGATGTGCAGGTGCAACAGCTGGTCCTCACTAGGGTGCCTGGGTGGCGGAGCAGATGGTGAACACCTGTGAATGTTTCATATTTAGCAACTACCTGTGATATTCTAGAGGTAGTCCCTTCAGCACGTATTTATTAATCATCTGCCTTCTTTTAAATGTTCATATCTGAAGGAGCTCATGTACAGGAGGGATGCTTTCTTTAAGAAACCAGTGGAGGTGAGCTGAGCACGGTGGCTTACACTTGTAATCCCAGCACTTTGGGAGGCCGAGGCATGAGGATCGCTTGAGCCCCGGAGTTCGAGACCAACCTGGGCAACATAGTGAAACTGTGTCTCGGCAAAAAATAAAAAGAAATTAGCTGAGCCTGGTAGCACACACCTGTAGTCCCAGCTACTCAGGAGGCTGAGGTTGGAGGGTCACTTGAGCCCAGGAGTTTAAGGCTATAGTGAGCTGTGATCATACCACTGCACTCCAGCCTGAGCAACAGAGCAAGACTTTGTGAGAAAGAGAGAAAGGGAGAGAGAAAGTAAGAGAGAAAAAGAAAGAAAGAAAAGAAAGAAAGGAAGAAAGGAAGGAAGGAAAAAGAAAAGAAAAGGAAAGAAAGAAAAAAAAAGAAAGGAAGAGAAAGAGAAAGAAAAACTGCTAAGATGCTACAGAGGTCTGGAAGCCATTTTCTCCTGGCAAAGGAAAAATGTCCCTAGGCCACTTTGGCTGTGTCAGAGAGCCAAAGCTAGGACAGCTACTGGTAATAATGGCAGCCATCAAGTGAGTCTCTCCCATATTCCAGGCACTTAATGAATGGTATCTCTAATCCTCATCACCAACAGCATTTTATACATCAGAAATCTGAAGCTTAGAGACAAAGCTATATATCTAGTACACGATAAACCCTGGATTCAAATCCAATTCTGTCTGGCTCAAAAGCCTATATTCTTCCCCTTATTTCAAACAGCCCCTTGACTGATGGTTGGAAATTTCAGTGAGGCAAATTCTGACTATCAGAAATAAGCTTCTAAGAGCTAGAACTGTCTAATATTCAGAAGGGCGTTCCACAAAACAAAGATTGCTTTATCTCAAAATATGCAAAGGCTGAATGACTGTGTCTGTCTTTGGTATTGAAGAAGGATTCCTGCAGTAGTAGGAGGTTATTTCTGGTTTCTAAAGTTTTTTCCAAGCCTAGGATTCTGTTACAATACCAGCTAAAAAATGTATCTCTAATTACATGTAGATGTAATGTAATTGCATCTTAATATTCAAGTATGGTCTGTTCATTTCAGTCTCTATGTAGAAAAAGGTGTTAGATGAAAGCTTTTCCACGAAGCTTTTGTTAGAGTTTCAGTTCTTTTCCTGTTACTTGATATCATGAAGTTAAATTAAAAACCCCATTGGGTTACAAATATATTTACCAGTCTTGAGAATTTTCCCAGGTCCTTCTCATATTAATGTCACAGAAATGAGAGTTACTGACAGAACACTACAAATCTGTAATACAATAGCACTATTTCTGTGGGCTGTACATGTGATATGATTTTACTGAAAATGGCTATTGTTAAGCTTTCTGAATTTATCTTGTTTCTGTGATAATTTATGTGACAAAACTACATACTGTTGGCCTCAGTGAGATATATGGAATTTCATGTCCTTAATCCAATGTCCAAATATTTGAGTGAAGCAAAAAATTCTAGGACATGGGGAGATCCTGGGGTGGGTGTAGGAGGTAGGGTAAGATCAGAGAAGTGGTGGGCAGGGAGGCAGGGAGCCTGGGAGACCTGGTACCACTGGCTGTCCCTGTCCAGGTTGACTGATGGTGGCATGTGTGCAGATGGAGACATTTCAGGCAGAAAGGGGTCACAGAGCCTTTGCGTCCTAGTTCTTTCCTGTGTCAGATGGAAACCGAGGCTACCTGTACCACTTTCCACACTGTAACAGAGGGAAAAAAAAAATCATCCAATCAGGGACTACCCATGTGGCAACATGTGGAATGTTTTAGTAGGTTAAACTTTATCATAGTGACTCTTAAGTGTATTTTCACTAGACATTCAAGCCAAATGGCACTGATTTTTGTTAAGAAGATATAACATGCAGCTCAACATCAAATTTGCTCTTTGCAACTAATGCATAGCACTCTATCAGTTCTAAAATATGGAACTAAAATTCTTGCAAACCACAAAAATAGGAAGGATACAGTACACATAGATTTGGATGATGGGTAAAGTACAAGAAGTAAAAAAAAATGTCTTACTATTCAAGTGCTTACTGCCAGTAAAGGTCATGTTATGAATAACAGAGCAAAGAGAAGCCTGTAAACATTGTGTACTTAGGGGGAAACTCCCTACCGCTGCCCACCACCCTAAAAGAAAACTGCTAGAAACATTTAATTCTTGATGCAGGAAGCAAATGTTTTTATCTGTAGGCCTTATACAATCATTTAGGATTGTAAGATGTTCAGCTTAAACTTAGGGGCTGTTACCTTTAAAACCAGAATATTAATCCCCCCAAATTAAATATGTTGTTTATTTACACTATATTAATTTACATTGTGCAAAGCACAGAGATAAGCAAAGTACAGCTCCTGCCCTCAAGGAACTTATAATCTATTAAGAAAGCAAGCTACCGCCAGGCACGGTGGCTCATGCCTGTAATCCCAGCACTTTGGGAGGCCGAGGCAGGTGGATCATGAGGTCGGGAGATCGAGATCATCCTGGCTAACATGGTGAAACCACGTCTCTACTAAAAATACAAAAAATTAGCCGGGTGTGGTGGCGGGCGCCTGTAGTCCCAGCTACTCAGTAGGCTGAGGCAGGAGAATGGTGTGAACCAGGGAGGCGGAGCTTGCAGTCAGCCGAGATTTCACCACTGCACTCCAGCCTGGGTGACAGAGCGAGACTCCGTCTCAAAAAAAAAAAAAAAGAAAGAAAGCTACACAAATAGTGTCAAAGAGAAAGAGATGGGGCAGAAAGGGGGAGCAACAGTGTGGCCTGAGATGACATTGCCAGTCTTAGGGTTCCAACATGGAATCCTGCAGGCCCAGTTTAGGGTCGAGATTGTGGTAAATAGGCCCAGTGGGGTCTCTAGAGTCAGCAGAGAAGGCCAGAGGGAAAGACTGTTTTAAATTTCCATCCTGCTGGCACATTGGTGGCAGTCTCTTTCCCTGAGCCCATGGGCAAGAGATGACACCCAAAAGCAGCTGTGGAGAAGCTTGTGCTGCTCCAGGAAAAAGGAGGGAAGGTGTTGTCAACACTTATGCTACCTTTACCGTAGAAGGACTTTTGTGGCAGGTTAGCTTGTAATCTTTATTGATGACTCATAAAACACAAACATCATGTTTTGCCATTAGTCTTGGGAACATGAACTGCAACTTTGCAAAAATATCTTTGGATAATTGAATAATAAGCACAGACATTTAACAAAATCAATTACAGGTATTTTTAACTTTTATTTTAGGTTCAGGGTACATGTGCAGGTTTGTTATATGGGTAAACTGCACGTCATAGGGGTTTGCTGTACAGATTATTTCATTACCCGGGTAATAAGCATAGTACTCGATAGGTAGTTTTTTGATCCTCTCCCTGCTCCCAAACTCCACCCTCAAGTGGGCCCCAGTGTCTACTGTTCCCCTCTTTGTGTCCATGTGTTCTCATTGGTCCCACTTATAGTGAGAACATGTGGTATTTGGTTTTCTGTTCCTATGTTAGTTTGCTTAGGATAATAGCCTCCAGCTCCAATTATGTTGCTGCAAAGGACATATTCTCATTCTTTTTTTTTTTTTAAACTTTATGTCAAACCGTATGATGTTGTTCTTTTTATGGCTGCATAATATTCCATGGTGTATACGTACCACATTTTAAAAATCCATTCTACCGTTGATGGGCATCTAGGTTGATTCCATGTCTTTGCTATTGTGAATAGGCTGCAATGAACATATGCATGCATGTGTCTTTGTGGTAGAACCATTTATATTCCTTTGGGTATATATCCAATAATGAGATTGCTGGGTCAAATGGTAGCTCCGTTTTACGTTCTTTGAGGAATTGCCACACTGCTTTCTACAATGCCTGAACTAATTTACCTTCCCTCCAGCAGTGTGTAAGCATTCCTTTTTCTCTGCAACCTCACCAGCATCTCCTGTTTCTTTTTTTTTTTTCACTTTTTAATAATAGCCATTCTGACTGGTGTGAGATGGTATCTCATCGTGGTTTTGATTAGCATTTCTCTAATGATTAGTGATGCTGATCATTTTGTCATATGTTTGTTGGCTGCATGTATGCCTTCTTTTGAAAAGTGTTGTTCATGTTCTTTGCCCACCCACTCCCCCTGCCCTTTATTTTTTGGAGACAGGGTCTTCCTCTGTTGCTCAGACTGTAGTGCAGTGGCATGATCTCGGCTCACTGCAGCCTCGACTTCCCAGCAGGCTCAAGCAAACCTCCCACCTCAGTCTCCCGAATAGCTGGGACTACAGGCACATGCCACCATGCCTGGCTAATTTAAATTTTTTTTTGTAGAGATAGGTTCTCACTTTGTTGCCCAGGGTGGTCTCGAATTCCTGGCCTCAAGCAATCCTCCCTCTTTGGTCTCCCAAAGTGCTGGGATTACAGGCATGAGCCAACATGCCCAGCCATCCATATACATATTATTATGTAATAACCTGCCTTTAAGAATGAAATTCACATGAGCATGCATATGGTAGAGCTTGCATTTATAGTTCACATGCTCTTGTTGTATTGTAAATATAAAAACAATCCTATGGCCAAATAAGTCTGGGAAATGCTGTCTTAGGGATAGGGGATTATTGCAAGGCCAGGAGAAGAAGGAGGGCTTCCTGGAAATCATCGGAGTAGACATTCAGGCACTCTGGGTCTCAGGGCCCCCACATGGGTCAGTTCCCGGGAAGACAGAACAGCCATTCATTGTCATCCCAAATGGAGAGCAGTTCCGAAGACCCTCCTTCTCTGTGAGTGCTCATACGTTCTCAGATGGTTACATCCCATATGGAGCTTTTCTATTGGACTTTTGTGCCGAGCTGCCTTATAGACCAATGGCTTCCCTTATGTTCAGTCCACGTGTATTTGGTTTGTGTTCTGATTCCTGACCCACTCACGATGACCAAGGTTGGTAACATTTGAAGTGGCAGAGCTGGTTTCATTTGAGGAATGGAGGCATAAATCATTGCAACTTTGCAAGAAGAGCTTCTGAGAATCCCTTTCCTGGGAGACACTCAGGGCCATCCCTAGAAGGGGACAGGGCCCAAAGCAACTCAGCCTGGGACCACCCAGATAACTGCCATTGAAATGAGGCTGTGCTGTTGTTGGCATCATCCATAGGTCCTTTGGGATACTGTTCAACTCAGACATTTCAAAATTAAATTTTAAACAGGCTCAGAAAGGGTCCTTTGTAGTTGTAGTTGAAGCTTCTGGCAGCTCCCTGCCCTGCCCCAGGTTCCCTCCGCAAGGGCCAGGCCTGCACTTGGAGCTGCAGGGTCTGCCCGGCACGATGCTCAGTGCTGACAGGATGGGGTGAGGTGGGCACTTGCACCCATGGCCAGTGGGAGCATAAACCATAGGTTGCTCTTTGGAAAGCAATTTATTGAGAACTTTTGACTTAGTCATTTCACTTCTACGAATCTACCATAAGGAAATAAATTTCCCTAAGAGTTGTATATATAATTTGTCCCAGCATTATTTTATAGAAGAGAAAATTATTAAAAGTATATATAACTATATATATATACACACACACACACGACTGTAGGGAAATGGTAAATTATTATGACATGGTAAACATATTAAATATTTCATATATGATGAAGCGGCATAGTATATAAAAGTATTCTAGCCTGTAATCCCAGCACTTTGGGAAGTCAAGGCGGGCAGATCACCTGAGGTCGGGAGTTTGAGACAAGCCTGGCCAACATGGTGAAACCCCATCTCTACTAAAAATACAAAAATTAGCTGGGCGTGGCGGTGGCACACACCTGTAATCCCAGCTATTTGGGAGGCTGAGGCAGGAGAATCATTTGAACCCGGGAAGTGGAGGTTGCAGTGAGCTGAGATCATGCCACTGCACTCCAGCCTGGGCGAGAAAGACTCTATCTCAAAAAAAAAAAAAAAAAAAAAAAAGGATTCTGTACCATTAAAATGATGTTAATAAAACTTTACTAACATGGAAAATTGTTGTAATATTGAGGGAGGAAAGTAGGATATAAAATTGTAGACACAGTTTGATTCCAACTATGTAAAGGACAGTGGAGGGAAACACGCCAACATTAACAGAAGTTGCCTTTGGGGGTGGAATTATGAGTAGCCTTGCAGCTTCTTTCTCCTATGTCTTCTTTTTCATTTGCTGTACTTTCCAAATTTTCTACAATGAGCAAATATTGCTTTTGCACTCAGGAAAAGTTTTTACAAAGAAAAATGTATAACTAGAAAAAGTAAATAAAAAATAAGTAAGTAGGGAAATTGAGAGGTAGGATTAGTTATGATCTCAGGGACTCATATGGTTCTTCATTTACCATCTGTTAAAAGATATTACAGGCTTCTGTTCTGAAGGAGACATTCAAATACTCATCTCATAATGGAGATGAAAAAATCTCTGCCATGGTGACGCAGAATATCCTTGACTAATTCCCTCTGTGGCAATGTGGGTGGGGATCGCCGGATTCCACAGCAAACATGGAAAAGATGTGCTTCCTGACCCAGTGAAGCGTCACCTCCTAGCCAGGGGCCCTCCTCGAGTATGACCCAGAGTAGGCTGTGATAGCCACTTGGAATCACTTCCTCTGTCGATTCCTGGGCCAGAGTCTGTAGTCCAGCAGAGGGAGATGGGATGGAGGCTGGAGATAGCACACACGTGGCAGTTTTATTGAGTTTCTGATTCCACTTGATTGCCTTCCCCATTCCTGCATTTCACTCGGGAGAAGCAGGAGCATGCCAGCCTCCAGCCTTGCCTCTCTCTGATCTTTTTTTCACAAACTGTCAGGGTGATCTTTCTACAGTGACTGGACCAACCATTTTCCTTCCCTGCCTAACATTTTCAGTGACCCTCCATTGACTTCAGGATAATGCTTTAAATTCCTAGCTTGGGAAGGCTCTGCTGCTCTGTCAGCCTCATTTCTGACCATTCCTTTCCTCGTGCCTCACATCTAAAACTTCTTGTGGTTTTCCCAAAGCACCCACCCCCCTTGCCTCATATATGCTATTTCCTCTCTCTAGAGCGCTCTCCCTTCAGGTGGCACCTGCGTAACTCCAGCACATTCTCTAGGTCTCAGCTAGACACGCCGTCTTCCAGGGATCCCTTCCCTGGTCCCTCAAGACCAAGGACAGTGCTCCTCTCATTGGTCCCATAACGGTCTGGCCTTCCCTCTATCTTGCTTCTTATCACTAGTGTTTGTTTATCTGCCTCTGTTCTAGACAGGTCAGAACTATGCCTTTCTCACTAGTGTTTTCCCAACAGCACCTTGAAAAGTATCTGACATAGATTAGGCACACAATAAATAGTTGCTGAATGAATGAATACAGCTAATGGAAATCCAAAAAGTAAGGATGACTGTGTTTGTCCTCCTTTTAAATGAGCCTGGGTTGCTAAACACTAACACTTCTACCCTGGAAGGTCAAAGTGGGGGAAATTTCAAGTTTTTGTGGCCATATTTATTTCTATGGTGTTTTTAGAGGGGCTACTCATATCTCTAAAGGGTCTGGCGGAAGTTAGCAGAGTTATTTGGACTTGAAAGCTGTGTGATCTCTCTTAGGCTTTAGGTACACAGATTTTAGCTTATAGTTCATTGACTTGTATTTTATCTGGTTGGCCTTTAACTTGACTCTCATGATACATTTTCTAAAAATGCAGGCTGAGGCACTTGTCCCTAAGGTTCCTCTGACATGACTTGAACAATTTATCAGAGGCCCACAAGCTAGGGCCAACTAGTGTGTGAATATATATATATATACACACACACATACACACACACACACATATATATATACACACATATATATATTTGTGTTTCAGAGCATACCTTTATTTGCATACAATTTTAGATATAATTCACAGAGCAGATAAGTTTATAAATGTAGGAAAGTTTCTTTTTATATTACTTCCAGTATAAATTTCTACCAATACTTTTACCTCTTTATTCTTTATGAATATAGGTACAAAGATGAATACATCTGAATATGGCTATGCATAGCTAGGTAAATAAACAGACATAAACAGGATTATATAAGTATGTCTATGTAAATATTTACCTATATAAAGCATGTTCCCCAAAAGACATTTTAAATACTCTAGTGTATATAATACTAAGGATGCAGGTGTAGAGTTAGTGTGTTTGTGTGTGTGTGTGTGTGTGTGTGTGTATATATATATATATAGTTTTTTTAACTTTAGATTCTTGAGCAGCAGCTTCAGCAGAGGAAAGCAATTTATCAGCTAAACCAAGAGAAATTAGAGTACAACTTGCAGGTGCTGAAGAAGAGAGATGAAGAAAGCACAGTAATTAAATCCCAGCAGAAGAGGAAGATCAATCGGTAAGCTAGCATGCAGAGCGTCTTTCTTCTGGGCCTTCTGTGCTGAGAATAGGGATGGATATGTACTTTTTTCTATTGAAGGGGTAGAAACCATTAAAAATATAACCAACACTTATTAAAATAGTTTTTTGGAAAAGTTAATACATTCAATCTCTCCCCAAGAAAAGAGTACATAGCAAAAGATCTTCCGTCCCCATTCATCTTGTTCCTCTTTCCTACCTCTGTAACCATTATTTGTTTGTCTCTTCCAGAATTTCATTAGGCATATACAAGCCCACACAAATATTCTCATCCCCCATCTGCTTTTACATAAATGATGGCAGTCTGTACACACTCCTGTATATCTTGAAGGCCTTTCCATCCCAGTTCATAGAGAGCTTTCACAGTTTCTTAAGCTGCTTACTACCCACTGCATAGATGCACTATGATTTATTTGACCAGTCTCTAATGATGGACATGTAGATTGCTTCCAACCTTTTCCTCTTGCAAATAATACCAACCTAAGTACTCATGACATGTGCCAGTTTGCTTTTGTGGAGATACCGTGGCTCACTGAAAGGTACCTATTGCTTGAAATTTCTCATACATCCTTCCCTTCTTCCTCATCTCCTTACTCCTATCCTTCCTGCCTTTCTTCCTTTAAGAATTGCATTCTAAGTTTCAGACCATTGTGCTAGGCTCTGAGGACCAGAGTGAAATAAGACTTCTTGCTTGTGGAAGGAGACAAGATTGGGGATTTCCCTCCAAACCCCAAATAGCCTATTATTATTTAGGAATTAATTCCACTTGTAGGTTGGTAATACATACATTTTGGACACATGTTGAATGTATAGAGGAACATCAGTTGACCTTTTGGTAGTTACTTATTACAGAAAATGATACTGAATAAATGGGATGGCATCTTAAGCCTGATTATCTGAGAAATAAGAATAGACAGGGGACAATATTTATGAAAAAATTCCCACTATATATGCACCGTACTAGATAGCAGAACATCCAAGAAAGGCACACATCAATACAGTGAGGAGGCACCTGGGAAAGCTTCCCAAAGAAGTGAAATACTGGAGGGGGTGGGGACATGAATTGGCAAAAAGCAGTTAAGAGGAGACTCCAGGTGGACAGTGCTGGCAGCTGGGAATGGCTGGTCTGAAGGCAAGGAGGTAGGATTCAGAAAGTCACACAGTGGGTGAAGAGAATGGGTAAGGTAGGAGGCGGGAGGAGGCGCTTGAGGCAGAGCTTGGGTTTGATGCGTGTGGCTGAGAGATGAGTGGAATCTTCCCTCTTATTTCAAACTCAGACAGCTTTCCCTCAGCCTGAAAAACCCTTCAACGGACCCTGCTGTTTCTAAGCACCATCTTTTCGTCTCTTGCTTTCATTGCCATTTTCCTTTCCTGCTCACCACCACCCAGCATTTCACAATTTGACATATCTGTTTGTGCTGCTCTAACAGACTACCTGAGACTGGATAATTTACAAAGGCAAAAGTTTATTTCTCACAGTTCTGGAGTCTGGGAAGGCCAAGATCAAGGCTGGCAGGTTTAGTTTCTAGTGAGGGCTGCATCTTTCAGAGGGGAGGGATGCTGTGTCCTCACACAGTAGAAGAGCGGGAGAGCAAGCTGGCCTAAGGCTTTGGGAGGCCTCTTTTATAAAGGCCTTAATCCCATAATCCCATTCATGATGGAGGAGGCCTTATGGCCTCATTACCTCTTAAAGGTCCTGCCTCTTAATATTATCACATTGACAACACTGAATTTTGGAGGAGTTACATTCAAGCCGTAGCAACCTATGACCCCAGGATTGGACAAAAACTTCCCACAGTAGGATACTGATGATGCCCTTCTAGCCAAGCGCAGTGGCTTCTCCTCAGGCCTCATCTATTATGATTGGATACTGGATTTTCTTCTTTGGTTTAAATGACCCTAAAATATTTGCTCTTCTTTCTTAATGTATTTGTTTCCTTTGGTGGTTCTGCTTTTCCTTGCTTGATATGTCTTGAGTATCTAGATAAGACAATCTAGAAAATCCAGGCCTTACCATTGCTTTTAATTTTTATTTCATCTGCCACATACCTCAGTCTCATGGTTTTGAATATCCCCTTTTTGTTGATGACTGCCAACCTCATATCCCCAATCCTGAGCTCACCTTTCATTTACCTGGAACTGCCAACGTAACAGTTCAGCTTGGAGAGGCCCTGTCATTTCCAGGGCACAGTTTCTGAAACCAGACTTGCCTCTGCTCCCTGTTTCCAGTTCTCCAGCCTCACTCCCCTGCATCTCTAGCTTCCAGGCACTAAGAACTCTGGACTTTTTTTGTTGAGCTTCCTCTTGCAGCCATTCTTCCCTGTTCACTTCCTCGCCTGCTATCTTGCCCAGACCTTCAGTATGCACCTGGAGTTTGTTTTGTTAGCTTCGGTAATTAGATGACACATAGGAACTCCTTTACTGCATGACATTGGGAAAAAACACTTTGGAATGACTACTTATTTTTACATCTGTGCTTGGAAAGCCTCCTTGAAGGCTGTAGTTAAGGAAATGGGTTAGCTGTTTCTTTCTATCAGAGACTAAGGTAACGACTTTTTTTGCATTTTCTTGATGATGAAAATATGAATGATGAATGTTTGCATTTGAGAGACATTTTGATCATTTCAGAATAATGCTTAGGAGAGGGAAAATCTTATTTTTAGAATTTCTAAACTTAAAATATGTTGGCCTTCAGCTTCTCTGTTACTGTGTGAATGGGGCACTGATAAGAGCCACCTCTGTAGTAGTTTGAAGTCTGAAGTATGGGCCTGGGTCTAAACATTGCGCCTGCCATGCATATTTTATGGGCCGAGTTTCCATGCACAGAGCTCCTGTTAGCAGTGAGATGGTGAGCTGTGCCGTGCCTGGATTCACAGTGCTATTGGACAGGTTTTAACTGCCTCTTGCTATTCTGGAAATTTTGGACCACCCCCTCCCCTGCAAGCCTGGGTAAGTTAGATGCCTCACCTCTGGGCTCCCCTGGCACCCTGCATAAAACTCTCCTATAGCACTTTCCACGCTGTACTGTAATTAACGTTTGTCTTTGTTTTTGACTAGACTGATAGTACCTTGTATTGAAACGTATCTTTGTATTCATCTTTGTCTTTCAACATATCCTTGCGCAAAAGTGGCATTTCATGTTTGTTTAATGAATACGTGGATGAGTGAATAAATGAATGAATGAATGAGTTACTGGACCTGTTAACGGTATCAGCTCTTTGAGGCTGGAAGATTTATGTATCATAGGCTTTTGTGATATGCATTTTTTTTCTTTAAAATTTTCTTGCTTCATGATTGAATTAAACATCCAAGTCATGACAATGAAATCGTTGAGATAGATTATTTAAATATGTGAGGCTGGCCCTAGGTATGGGTATGGGCATTCTGACAAATGATGTATTGTGAAGTAGGTTCTGTCCACAGTCTTGAGTAGGAGGCTGCCTCTTGGTGGGAATGGGCTCTGGATTGTTTTCAATGCGTTTCGTTTTGGACTGTCCCAAGATCTCCTGTTGCCTTCCTTTTGTTGATCAAAATGGGATCTGTGTTTTGGAATATATGGGAGGGTTTTCTGCTCTTCCACAGATCTGCTCCTGGGTTTGTGGTAGAGCTGAATCAGGTGGATGAGAGGAACATACATAATACCTTCTATTCAGCTGCAGACTAACCTTTTTCTCCTTCAACCAGCCTGCATGATATACTTAACAATCTGAGATCAAAATATGCCAAGCAAATAAAGCAGTTTCAGGAGGAGAACCAGTCTCTAACCTCGGACTACAAACGTCTTGTGATGCAATTCAAGGAGCTACAGAAAGCCATGAGGTATCTTAAGGACTTGGTCCTAAGGCACTTGTCCTAGCATAGAGGTGACGGGGATGGAGTTTGTACAAGCTGTGATTTCGTTGGACTTGATGTCACCAGCTATTCTGGGGCTGGACCAGGCACTAGTTAACCTTTTGTGGTGTGTTCCCCTGGCCCTTCACTTGCGTGTCACCTGCCTTTTCTTGAGATGTGTTGGGATGGCTTCCAGTTTATCGTAAGTGGGAATCAGCCGCCCAGGGATGGGGCCAGGCCCAGGAATTAGCACAGCTCCTTTTCATATTCCTGCCCTGCTGCTATTTGAGGGGACCCTGGCCAGGTCCTGGGGCCAGCTGGCCATGCTCTGTGACTCTCCTTCACAGGCATTTTGCTCTTATTGATGATGAGAAGTTTTGGGAGATTTGGCTGATGAATGAAGAGGAGGCGAAGGACCTAATAGCCAGAGCCTTTGATGTGGACAGGATCATCCACACCCATCATCTGGGGCTTCCCTGGGCAGCACCTGATTTCTGGTTCCTGAACAATGTTGGGCCTATTTCTCAGCAGCCCCAGAAGTCCGCCACACAGATAGTAGAAGAAATGCTTATGCGCTCAGGTGACTAGAACACTGTCATAGAGCCTTAGAGCTGGAGGAGCCCCCTGAGAACATCGGGTCAAGCCAGTCACGTTAGAGATAGTCTAGGGAGGAGGGGGAAGAGTATGATTATTGGTATCGCTTTTAAGTCTCCTCTAATTTATAGCTTTGCTCTCTCTCCTGTATTATAAACTGGCAGTTAGGTCTAGAAGCTTGATCAGATGCAGGTCCAATTTATTTTTGCTAAGTACACTATTGTGTAGTACCTCCATCGGGATAAACTAATGTTAAATTGTCTCCCTTTTTGTGATGTTAGCAACCATTGCTAATCATTGTCTAAGATCCATTAACTGTATTAGGGATTGCAAAATGGTGATATGTTAGATTCTGTTCTTGTGTCTTTATTTAACAGAATACTTCTTAAAAGAAAATCTTCCCTTCCTCAGCAATTTGCTACCCTGAGATAGTCTGTATATGAAAAGCAGGATAGATGCTTATTTTTTCTCTGTTTACCAGTTTTCAAAATAATGGGTTGGGCCTCTAGCATCTTCCAAAGGTACCAATGAGTTTTTAAAAAATATTATGAATGCATGAGTTTAAACAAATTTGATGTATTTTAGTTTACTAAAGTAATTATCCTTATTGAGGCTCAAATTGTTCCATCTTTGGCTAGTGGAAATCTTCATATTGGCTTCTGGGTCCTTTTGATTCAGCCCTAGTAGTTATTTATTTATTTATTTATTTATTTTTGAGACAGAGTCTCGCTCTGTTGCCAGGCTGGATTGCAGTGGCGCGATCTGGGCTCACTGCAACCTCCGCCTCCCGGGTTCAAGCAATTCCCCTGCCTCAGCCTCCCGAGGAGCTGGGACTACAGGTGCGCACTGCCACACCTGGCTAATTTTGTTTATTTTTAGTAGAGACAGGGTTTCACCATATTGGCCAGGATGGTCTCCATCTCCTGAGCCCGTGATCCCCCCAACTCAGCCTCCCAAAAGGCTGGAATTACAAGTGTGAGCCACCACGCTTGGCTAGCCCTAGTAGTTTTTTTTAACAGCGTCCTGGCTCTCCAGGATGACCAGGTGTTCAAGGCACACATTATACTTTTCCTGCCTCTTGTCTGGAATCAGCCATTTCTCCAAGGATCCCCTGGTCCTTTCAAATAGGGAATTTTTTTTTTTTTTTTTTTTTTGAGATGGTCTCACTCTGTCGCCCAGGCTGGAGGGCAGTGGTGGGATCTCGGCTCACTGCAACCTCTGCCGCCAAGGCTTCAGCAATCCTCCCACCTCTGCCTCCCGAGTAGCTGGGACCAAAGACTCATGCCACAATGCCCAGCTAATTTTTGTATTTTTTTGTAGAGACATGGATTTGCCATGTTGCCCAGGCTGGTCTCAAATCCTGGGCTCAAGCGATTCCTTCCCAGAGTGCTGGGATTACAGGCTTGTGTCACCATGCATGCCCAGGGAATGGTATTTAGAAACCACGCTGTGGGCGCTGGGTGCTTATTGTTTTGGATTGGCCATTGTTTCTAGGCCTTTTCAGTGGACAGAGCTGAGAGTATAGGATTTCTTTTTTTTGGTAATAAAATAAATCATGAGTTCATTCTAATACCTCCTCATCAACAGGATGCCAGGATTTTTATTTAACAGTATCAAAGTGTATCCCCTTTCTTCCAACTTTAAAATCTTAGTGCTCAGTGACTTCAAAATAATGAATCACATGCCTTCCCCACAGCACCACAGAACTGCCTCAGAGGAAAATATCAGCCCTGCCACCAACAAATGATTACTAAAGACAGTTTACACTGTTTTATGGTTCCTTTTATTCTTAAAATGTGTCCCTCCAGGGATGTACAGACAGATTGCTATATTTTAAAGTCACCTGGAGCCAGGTGCGATGGCTCACCCCTGTAATCCCAGCACTTTGGGAGGCCAAGGCGCGCAGATCACCTGAGGTCAGGAATTCGAGACCAGCCTGGCCAACATGGCGAAAACCTGTCTCTACTAAAAATACAAAAAATTAGCCGGTCATGGCGTGCGCCTGTAATCCCAGCTACTCAGGAGGCTGAGGCAGGAGAATCGCTTGAACCCGGGAGGTGGAGGTTGTAGTGAGCCAAGATTGCACCACTGCACTCCAGGATGAGCAACAGAGTGAGCCTCTTTCTCAAAAAAATAAAAAATAATAAAAATTAAAAAAAAAATAAAAATAGGCCGGGTGCGGTGGCTCATGCCTGTCATCCCAGCACTTTGGGAGGCCAAGATGGGCGGATCATGAGGTCAGGAGTTTGAGACCAGCCTGACCAACATGGTGAAACCCTGTCTCTACTAAAAATACAAAAATTAGCCGGGCATGGTGGCGCGCGGCTGTAATTCCAGCTACTCAGGAGGCTGAGGCAGGAGAATCACTTGAACCCGGGAGGTGGAGGTTGCAGTCAGCCGAGATTATGCCACTGCACTGCAGCCTGGGTGACAGAGCGAGACTCTGTCTCAATAAATAAACAAATAAATAAAAATAAATGCACTTGGAATAGTTTCTGTGTGGTTATATCACCAGCTTGATACACATATAGGTATTTTTGTTTCGTTTTGCTTTTGATTATTAGGGAATGGTTTTTTACAATTTAATTATGTTTTTTGTTCGTTTGTTTTATTTTTGTCTTTTTGAGACAGTCTCACTCTGTTGCCCAGGCTGGAGTGCAGTGGTGCAGTCTTGGCTCACTGCAACCTCCACCTCCTGGGTTCAAGCGATTCTCCTGCCTCAGCCTCCTGAGTAGCTGGGATTACAGGTGCGTGCCACCATGCCCAGCTAATTTTTGTATTTTTAGTAGAGACGGGGTTTTGCCATGTTGGCCAGGCTGGTCTCAAACTCCTGACCTCAAGTGATCCACCTGCCTCAGCCTCCCAAAGTGCTGGGATTACAGGCATGAGCCACCACGCCTGGCCTAAGAAGTTAATTTTAATTAAGAAAATTTTTGGCTCTTGCTGTCAGCTGTCAGTTCTTGCTGTTAATATTTCTCTGGACCAGGCGCCGTGGCTCATGCCTGTAATCTCAGCACTTTGGGAGGCCGAGGCAGGCAGATCACTTGAGTTCAGGAGTTCGAGACCAGCCTGGCCAATGTGGCAAAACCCCATCTCTACGAAAAACACAGAAATTAGCCAGGTGTCGCGGTGGGTGTCTGTAATCCCAGCTACTTGGGAGGCTGAGGGAGGAGAATCACTTGAACCCAGGAGGCGGAGGTTGCAGTGAGCTGAGATCACACCACTGCACTCCAGCCTGGGTGACAGAGCAAGACTCCATCTCAAAAAAAAAAAAAAAAAATTATCTGTGAATGTGCAAAGCCACCTGCCCCTGCTTTGAGTTGGCTGCTTCTGTCTAATCTGTTGCAGGTTTAGAGACTATATAGCCACTTGCTAGATCATCTCTGAAATAAGAATAAATGGGCTCACACTCTCCCTCCCACTTCCTGGTTCATGGCTGGATTTTGAGTATGATGTTTCCAGGTAGACGCAATTTGGAAAAGTAGGGCATTACAGGCTGGCTGGGAATGGCCGAGTTCTCCAGGTAGTCTCTGATTCCGACCCCCTAGCCCGCCTTCCCGCCACGTAATAGGCTTTTTTCATCATAAAGAGACTGAGAGAATGCCTCACAGAGGCTTTTTAAGAGGTACATTTTCTCAAGGAAAGCCATCTGACTGTTTCTCAGAGTCAACTAGCTCCAGAAATTATCTTCTTTTTCTTTCTCTCTCCTCCCCATGACCCAACTGCAGAAGAGGAGGAGGCAGAAGAGGCCGCCGCGGAACCAGAGTCCTACCTGGATTTGCCGAAGCAAATTTCTGAAAAAACTACCAAGAGGATCCTGATGCTCCTGTGTGACGAGTCGGTGAGGCCAGGCGGGGGCTGCAGCAGAGGGACTCACGGGGGTGTGCAGGTTCTGAGGCCTCTGCTGGGCCAGTGCTAGCCTGGAGTCAGGAGTGGGCCAGTCCTCCCCTGGCCAAGCCCAGGGTTGGGCCCTGAGGAGCAGAGTCAGGATGGCCCCTGGACTTCAGGGCCGGTTCATAGAGGCCTTGCCTCTGAGCTGGCCCAGCTGGAAAATGGGTCTAACCTTGGTTGGCCAGCATGGCATAGTTTAGGCCAGCTGGAGGGCTCCTGCCAGCTTAAAATGATGCTGCTTCTGAGACAGAAGTTGCACCAGCTCACCTCCATGAACCAACTTGCTAAGTGATGTGGCCACACTGACATGGCCCTTCTCAGGGGCTTGTTTTGGGGGTGACTCTGGCTATGTTGGGATTTGGATGTCTGCATTGTATGTTAGCAAACATGATTAGCCTTAGAATAAAAGCTGCATTGAGCTGGTTCAGCTGGAGGTTGGGTTGTGGTCAAACATGGGCAGTGTTTGTTTGGATCTTACGGTTCTGAAGTGGGTATTCTTTTAGGATAGTGAGGGCAGTTGCCTTTGGCTGGCTCTTGCCACTGAGGGCAGCTGCTGCTGAAGGGGTCAGGTGGCAGGTTCTGCCCTCTGAACCTGCAGCTGGATGCAGAGGCCACCTCCCCATGGAGCTCTCCCCCAGGCATCCCAGCTCAGAGCGGGCACCGCATCTGCTCAGCCGCCCTCTCCCTTCCACCGCATGTGTGCTGTGTTTTGGTTTGGGGTGCCCACTGCTTTCCATGCCTCCCTGTCCTGCTGCTGTGTTCTGTAGATATTTGGGGACAAGACTATGGGTGAAGCAGGAGCCTGTGACTGGGTCAGCTTTGGACTGTGGTGGGGGCCTCAGGAGTTTGCCTAGTGGCTTGTGGGTGAGGTGGGTTGGTGCCCTTCTGGGTGGGAAAAGCTAAGTCTGTGGTGAGGATGGGCTTTGTCCCTGGCCTTGCTTGTCTCTGGCCTTGCTCCCTGGGGAGGGGGGCGTTCATGGGCACCCCAAGAAGGCTTTGCTGGGGCCCACTGCTGGCTCCCATCCCTGGGCGTCTGCTCCGTGGCATGGTCCCTGGAGTGTTACACAGGGGGCAGCTGCAGACCCTGGGACTCGCTCCTGAAACCTGTCCCCGACAGGAGATGCCTTCTTCCTTCTCCCCAGGGGTTCCTCATAGAGAGCAAGCTGCTGAGCCTTCTCCTGCCCCTGGAGCAGAATGAATGCTATCTGCTGAGGCTGGATGCCATCTTCTCCGTGAGTCCAACGGGGCTGGGAGGACACGGGTGGGGCTGCAGCCGGCCGTGTTCTCAGATGGCCCTGCCATTGCCTCAACCCTGGCAGTGGACGAGGGTCTCCCGGGGCTTCCCCTGCTCCCTGTCACATCCTTCCCTTAACCTACTCTCCACACAACACATTGGTCTCAGACTCACTGCAGTGTCTCCCACCCCTGCCTCTTCCTCTACTAGCATCTTCCTCTCAGGTTGTAGGTTCTCCCTGACACCCCCAAACTCAAATCTGGTGCAGCCCCACTAGGCATCCTCACAGCCATGGGATCCATATGGAGCAGCTCCTGGCTCTATGAGCATTGTTTCCGTGTGTTCTGATGTGTGTGTCCCCAAGTTCACAGTCGCTTCCCAGCGTTGGATGAATGCCCTCCACAAGCCAAGCCTCCCGCTCTTAGGAGCTGAGCATCTGTCAGCTGCCCAAGCCCGTGGCCTCTTGATGGGGTGTTTGAGCAACCATCCTGTTTTTCGCCCCAGGCCCTTGGAATTGAAAGTGAGGATGACTTGTATAAACTGGTGAACTTCTTCCTTAAATATCGAGCTCACCGTTTATCTTCCAGCCTCCAGGTAAGGCAAGGTGCAGAGAGAAGAAAGCATTTTCTTTCTTTCTTATTTATTTATTTATTTTATTATACTTTAAGTTCTGGGTTACATGTGCAGAACATGCAGGTTTGTTACATAGGTATACATGTGCTCTGGTGGTTTGCTGCACCCATCAACCCATCACCTACATTAGGTATTTCTCCTAATGTTATCCCTCCCCTAGCCCCCACCCCCCGACAGGCCCCGGTGTGTTATGTTTCCCTCCCTGTGTCCATGTGTTCTCATTGTTCAACTCCCATTTATGAGTGAGAACATGCGGTGTTTGGTTTTCTGATCTTGTGATCGTTTGCTGGGAATGATGGTTTCCAGCTTCATCCATGTCCCTGCATTTTCAATTGTCCCGAAGCCCCCAGAGCACAGTGCTGTCTTTGAGTAGCACTTCTGGAGAAATAGCGGGGCTTTTATGTCAGGTATAGCTAACTTAGCATTTCCCTTATTGTTTATCAATTTGTCTCTTTGTAAAGGGAAGAATGGCTTGGGGGTGAGATGCTGTTCTTATACTGAGGCCCAAGCAATCTTTTCCTGCACCCTCCCTCAAAACCAGGTCTCAGCCACTGTGAGACCAGAGCCCACCAGGTTCTGAATATTTTGATCCTTAACACTTTCCCGCAAGGCAAGGCCCATTTGTCCTACATATCTTGATTGTAATTGATTTCAGAAGGTGAATCAAATATTAACTATTTTAAAGAAGATGCCATATTAAAAGTCATATAACATTTTAATTTAAAAATGAAAAATGTGAATGAAAAATGTTTTTAGTACTGCTAGCCCAAAGCTGAGTATCCTGACATGCCTGTAAAAAGAGTTGGCTGGGCTAGGCACAGTGGCTCATGCCTATAGTTCCAGCTACTTGGGAGGCTCAGTTTAGCCCAGAAGGTTGAGGCTGCAGTGAGCCATGATGA